>NC_000011.10:104748182-105051212 GCF_000001405.40 Homo sapiens
CAAATGCCGTGGCAATGTCAGGAAGTTACCCTATATGGTCTAAAAAGGAGAGGCATACATAATCCACCCCTTGTTTAGCATATCATCAAGAAATAACCATAAAAATGTGCAACCAGCAGCCCTGAGGGTTGCTCTGTCAATGGAGTAGCCATTCTTTTATTCCCTTACTTTCTTAATAAACTTGCTTTCAGTTTACTCTACAGACTCACCGTGAATTCTTTCTTGTGCAAGATCCAAGAACCCTCTCTTGGGGTCTGGATCTCGACCCCTTTCCTGTAACAACAGTGTTTAGAATTTTTGGAGTCTCAATTTTGAATACTGGTTTAATAGTGAAGAAAGGTCACTCTTAATTTCAATTAAGTCGACTATTTGATGGAAAGTCCTATATAAGCATTGACAATGAGCTCACAACCTGGGAAAAATTTAAGACTACAGGGAAAAATCACAGAGTTTGACATAGTGGTAAAAACATGGACATTGAAATCAGTCAGAAATGGGTTGAACTATTTAGTAATGTGCCAGGCATTCTCAGACACAAGTGAATGAAACACAGTTTTTGCTCTTGGGGATCTTACAGTCTACAGAAGCCTTGTCCAGCCTGTGGCCAGTGGGCCACATGTGGCCCAGGACTGCTTTGAATGCAACCCAACACAAATTTGTAAACTTTCTTAAAACATGATTAGTTTTTCTGTGATTTTTAAAATTTTTTTAGTTTTTATTATTATTATTATTATTATTTTTTGACGGAGTCTTGCTCTGTCACCCAGGCGGGAGTGCAGGGGTGCGATCTCGGCTCACCACAACCTCCACCTCCCAGGTTCAAGTGATTCTCCTGCCTCAGCCTCCTGAGTAGCAGGGACTACAGGTGCACACCACCACGCCTGACTAATTTTTTGTATTTTTAGTAGAGAAGGGGTTTCACCTTGTTAGCAAGGATGGTCTTGAAACACTGACCTCATAATCTGCCCACCTCAGACTCCCAAAGTGCTGGGATTACAGGTGTGAGCCACTGCACCCAGCCCTCTGTGGGTTTTTTTAAAGCTCATCAGCTATTATTAGTGTTAATGTATTTTATGTGTGGTCCAAGACAAGTCTTCTTCGTCCAGCGTGGCCCAGGGAAGCCAAAAGATTAGACACCACTGGTGTAGGGAGTGATTGTGACAATAAATAAGTAATTATAGTATCAGGTGGAAATAAGATTTTTAAAGGAAAAAAAACAGTAGTGTTAGGGAATAAAGAGTATTGGGTATGTTTTAAATCATATGTCAGGGAAGGGACCTTGACAGAGGTGGCATTTCAACGAAGCCCTTGAATAAGTAAGGGAGCACTGCAGGTATTTGGTAGGAGACTTGCCTGGGCAGAGGGAAGAGTCCTTGCCTGGGCAGCACTTAACATTATGTGTTGAATAAAGTTAATCTAAAATAACCCCAACTAGATGCATTAGCATTATCTACATGCTTAGAAAACTGCTTTCATCCTGGAGTAAAAATGCCCCGAAGAATAAAACACTATACATTAAAGGCAAAGAAGATCTTAAAAAGAACTTAGTCCAACCACCTCAATTTGCCACTGAGAAAACTAGGTTATGAAAAACAAAACTATTGGCAGAACTGGGCTGGAACTAGAAATTAGGCCCTTTCAACCTCAGATTGTTTATTATTTTTCTGTGATCTCTGCTGGTGCATAAGAAAAGGTCTCAGGAGCTGTCTTGGCATACTATCTAGTTTAGTACCAAGTACAGTGAGCTGCATGATATATGAACCTTGTTCAAAATGACATGACAATTTAGAATCTTTTTTATTTCTCCATGAAATACCACATATATTTTATTGAGGGTCGAAAATCCCACTTTTACACAGTAAAAATGCTTTAAACTTAGGATCCCGACATGAACAGCATAAAAATATTTTTTAAAATCTAGAAAAAATAGAATCTCATTTTTGAAAAAAATCCTTGTCTCCTTTCAAAAAAAAAAAAAAAAAAAAAGGTTGTTCAATATGCTCCCATTAACTCTCTAGGAACATTTAAGTTGACTAAGGCTGACCTTTTTGCTTATTTTTCAGTTTAAAAATGTGAATCATTTTGCCATTTTCTATTTCTTTAGTCTTTATTTGAATTTTGTGAATGTGCTGCAAAACATCTTTCCCCAACAGGGCTTTTAGAATCATTTGCCTCTGCTAGTGCTCCATTATTATTCCCTTGCTTCCCAACTACCACCTATGGGCTGGGAAGTTGGTGCTGACCCGGTATTGTGATTCAGGTATAATTCTTGCCTGCCATTCTTCTAGCTCTGCCCTTCTCAAAAAAGTCACTGTGTGTCTCTGCCCCCATAATGCTAAGCGATCTTGGCATTAATGGTAAGTATTTGTCTGCAGACAATCAATGTATTTTTTTGTTGATGGCAATCTAGCTCCTTTTACGACAGTTTTTAAAACAAAAGTTTGTAAGTATTCTTGCAAGAAAAAAGGTGATAAATTATGGTAATTTATTTGGTTATTCTATAAAAAGGCAATTTTATTCATAATGTAGTTCTAGTATAATACTTATAGTACCATCCTAAAATTTCAGTCCTACGGCAGGGAGAGGTGTTTTGTGTAGAAAGGAAAAAGCACATGGGCAAAAGGAGGAGAAATTGCAAAGAATGAGTTTGTCTTCTTCCTCATTCCTAGTTTTAGAGATGATAGGATAATTTTCAAAGCAGGGAAATTTATACGTTTACATCAATTTTACTTCCTTCCTGGAAACCCTTCATTCAGAGGTCAAAGGTTTTAATGGCTGTAATAAATTAAAAGTGGGCCAGCCCAAATCTTTTTACACTCCTTGCATTATTAATAGGTGGGATTGTAATTCTCTTCCCTCTAATCTGGGCAGGGATTGTCCAATGGAATAATGTATAAGTGATTGTTCTATTAATGCCATACTGATTTTTAGACCTAGGTTTAAGAAACTTAGGCAACATCCACTCCTTGTCCCTTGAATACTTACTCTTGGATCTCAGCTGCTCACTCCATGGCAGACTAACCAGCTCTGTGAAGCCTTTACAGAAAAGAACTAAGATGTCTGACAATCCTAGCCGAACTCTTAGGTGATAACCAGCACCAATTTGGCAGCCATAGGAGTGAACTCATTTTGGAAAAAAACATCGTTTAGCTCCAGTCAAGCTGATGCAAAGAGACCAGTGATTAAGTCCCCCTGCCAACCTCCGCACAAATGACAGGTTAATAAGGAAAACAGATTATGTGTTTTTATGCCCAGAAGTTTTGGGTGGTACTTTATGCAACAGAACAGTACTCTTTGGTAAGCATCTTCACACGAATCGGGCTTGCTATTTCTATAAGAGTGTTTTATACATACCTGCACTAAATGAGTGCCCTCTCAACAAAGCCACCTCCCAAGAACTTCCCCAGATCAATGTTCACCTTCTTTTAGAGCAGATGGGCTAATTATTTGTTAGAAGGAAGCAATTTGATTGAAGTAATTCTCAACAAGGCTTGACTGATTAATGTGTATTTAAGCCACTCAGGAAGATTTAATTGGCAACATGTCAACCAATATAATAAAATAAATTGAAAAAATAGTACACAGTATAGGGAAAGTTATTGTCAGATGGTGGCCATAGTTTACAGAATACAAATTATGCAGACTGTCATTATGTAATAGTTTGGGCCTCTGAATTGAGTAGGTTAAATCAAGGATATGCATCTTGTGTTAGTTACTAGAAAAGGGGCACCTTATAGTGTATTGTGTTGTATTGTAAAATAATCCCTTGTTTACCTCTGTGCCTAGGTTGACTATTCCTTTATGGTAGGAGTGAAATCTACTGCCTCCATGTATGTTCCACCATACCTAGTACAGTGTATTTTGTATGTTGTAGGTATTCAATAAGTGTTTGTTTATAATATAATATAATAAGAAACACACCTGTATACATATTTACCATTTGTTTGGATGTCAAAGTGTACACAGACTTTACAAGATATTAACATAATATAATCAAATTGATATTATATCTTGCTTTTTTCTTTATTGCACTGGCTAAAATGTCTAATGCAATGTTGAACATATTGATTAGTTATAGTTCCATTACATTCATTGAATGACCCCAGACTAGTAATATTGTACCATTCTTTTTATTTATTTCCTGAGTCACTTTTCTCATATTTCAGTCAAGGTTTTTGCATTTATATTCATGAGATTGGCCTGTGATATTTTTAACTGTAATTTTTAAGTCAGGTATTGTTATCAAGTTTAGGCTATCCTCATAAACAAATTAAGAAAGGGTCTGTCTTCTTATAATTTCTGAGATAATAAATATATGCTAGCAGTCATCATAAAAGTCATTTGGGATTACATTTTCCTTTGTAGGAAAGATTTTTAAAATGAATTTAATTTCTTAGGTAGTTATGGGACTATTCATTATAACCACTGGAAAGAAAAAACATATTCACAGATGATATATTTGTAGAAACTTCAAAGATAAACTATTCATTGATATTAGAAATAATAATTTGGTTTAATAGCTTGCTGCATACAAGCTAAATTCAAAGAACATATGTAAGAAAAAATAAAGTGAAAATTTAACAATAAAAGATACTATTTCAAATAGCATCACAAATATGAAATCCCAAGTCATTAATGCAGCATATATTTTATGGCCACTCATGGAAAAATTATATTTTTAAAAAATTTATAGAGGATGTTAATAATTAGATGTATTTTGAAAAAAAATTGTAATGATCCATACTAAAAAGATGCCAATTCTCCTAAAATTGCCTATACATTTAAGGCAATTACAATAAAAGTTCCAGCAATTTTATTTGTTTCTGACCACAAGTTAATTCTAAGTTTATAGCAATTTGTAAAGGGTCAAGAATAGCTATCATAAGAATAAATCAATAAACAACAGAACAACATTGGTAGTGCAGAAAAAGATCTTAATTTAGACGGATATGTGATTTATGACAAAAGTAGAAGTTGATATTCATCTTTTAAAAAATATAAAACTTGGCCTCTACTTCAAACTGTTTCCAAAAGTTAATTCCAAATAATTAATAGACATTTATGTGAAAGAAAAAAGAGCAAAGCTTTTAGAAAATGATCTGAGACTATTTTTAGTGAGACAGGTTTAACCATGTTGGCCAGGATTAACATAAGCTTGAGGTAGGTAGGGAAATTTTTACAAAGGGAACACATAAAGCACTTCTTATAAATGTAATTTAATGAATTAGAATACATTAAAATTAAAAATTCTCTGTAAATTCAAACTAAGAGTTAAATGGTAATCCGTGAAGTAGACAAAATAATTCTAACACAATAATTAACAAAGGGCCTGTATCCTAAATATAGAAAAGTGTCTAAAAATCAGTACAGAAAATACAGAAAATCCAATAACATGTCAATGGAACAGACATGTTACAAAACAGCATATCTACATGGCAAGTAAATATGTGAAGAGATAATCTCATTGGTAATCAAAAGAATGTTGATTAAAATTGTAATAGAATGTCATTAAAAACCAGTAAATGAATAAAAGTAAATAGACAAACAATATGGAGAGGCAAGAGGTGGAGCAGCCAGAATCCTTATGCTCTGCTGCTCCAAGGTAGAACTGGCACAGTGACTTTCAAAAACGTTTTAACCAGTATTTACTAAAGCTGAAGGTGTATGAGCTTCATTATGATTCAGCAATTCTACTTCTGGGTATACACCCAGCAAAAACAACTGATGATACATAGATGATAGATAGATAGATAGATAGATAGATAGATAGATAGATAGATAGATAGATAGATAGGGAAGTTGGCATTATCTTTTAAAATCACAGTTATATATACCCTTTGACACAGAAATTTTATCTCTAGTCATTCCAAAGTTTTACTAGTATGTATGTGAAAGGATTATCCACTGCTGTATTACTAAACAGGTTCAAAATCCCTTATCTGAACCTTTGGAATAAATGTGTTATCAAATAGAGATTTTGTGTTTATTTTTAGGAGGATACCACCATGCGTATGTCATCTACTACATTATACCCTCAGTAGGATTCAGAGCACAACCCCATATCTAAATCACTGCCACTTCTGCAGTGAAATGTGTGTATATTCACACTAAGTAGAATAAACAAAAATATAAATACTATTACTGTCTACATATGGTTTTTTTAATGGTAGTCACTGATTTTTGAAACAATGCCATAAACATAGGCCAGTGGTGTGCAAACATGAGCATACATCAGGGTCACCCCAAGCCTTGTGAAAAGACAATTGCTAGGTCTTCACTTCAGATTGCATGATTCAGTAGGTGTGGGGTAGGACCTTGTGATTTGCCTTTTTTATGAAGTTTTTGAAGTTTTTATGAAGTTTATGAAGTTTTTTTGCCTTTTGCTGATGCTATTGGTTCTAGGGGTCACATTTTGAAAATGTCAATATTGAGGATAAACATTCTCTGCTTTTTCTATGAATAATATTTAATAAAACTTTAAGCTAAACTTAAAGCCTGTACATTTACATACACTGAATTTTTGCTATACTAGCATGCCTTGGAAAAGGGGACACATCAGTGTGATCATTGTAATTGGAGTGAAGTTACATGTCTAAGGGTAGATGTGGAGCAAGTTTCTCAAATGACAAAACCATACCACAGCATTATTAAACCTCATTATAGATGGCTTTATTTAAAATTTCTGGTGTCTTCTGTCTCATTACCATGGGTTTATAATAAGTTGTAGTCTTTGGCTCACAGAAAAATGCATGTTATTTAAGGACAGAACTTAATTGATCAGACATTTTCTCCCCATATTCCATGAAACATTTAAACATTCACACAATTTCTGCATTATTTACATAATACACAAGTGCTTTTTAACATTTTTAACACAATTAACATTTTAACACAATTTTTAACACACTTAAACATTTAAACAGTCACATAATTTCTGCATTATTTACATAATACACAAGTGCTTTTTAAAAATCTAACTTTTCCACACTCTTGGGTGATTAAATTTAGTTTGAGTGATGAGGTCTGATATTAATTCTTATAGTTATGCAGAAGTATCATTTAAAGTCTTCACCAGCAGGGTTTTTCAAACATCATTGCTAGTTTGACGGCTATGCCAAGTATTTGTTAATATTGATTTATCAAAATAATTCCAAGCATTTGAGACAATATGTCCTACAAACTGAATGCTTTTAGAATATTTGGATTCTTCAACCTCTGTTAATTACTGCATGCTTACATTTTAAAATGTGTTTATGCTTGGTCTTCATGAGTGTAATGATCATGTTACAAATGTCATATTGAGGGGAAAATACTCATCCATGAATAATAACATATTAAAGTTATTTTTCCTAGTCATACTAATCTGCAGTGGGTTCACATAGCTGTTTCAGTATTATTTTTGAGGCAATAAGAAAACATATCTCTAGTTATCCTTGTTCCATACCCAAGAAGAGTCAACATTATTTATTGGTATTATCTGTTGTTCTCTCCTCAGTATCATTAAGTTGTTTCTAGGAATGTAGCACAGTGCCAAACTTTTTATCAACATTGTAAATTTGCACAAAACTGCATTTTTCATTATTACTTTAAGAAGTTTGTCAAAATACCTTATTTGCCATAGTTTTTTTAGACGTGTTTCACCATGGTGCTTCTTAACACCTTGGAGTCAACCTCCTAAAGATCCACATTCACCTTTCATTGTCTCTTCGTGGTCTCTTCTGGCTCATTTAATGGCCAGAAAATTTGTTGGTACATTAGTTTTACTTCTGATTGTTTTATTACTATAATCAACACATGGTCATGACCTTTATTTTTCATGCCATATGTTGTGTTTTTCTGTTTCTTTAGTTCTTGCTCATCACAGCTGCAAAGTGAATACAAACATGCTGACCAATATATTACTATCACAGAGTAGCATTTTCTGATGTTCTGACTTTCTGCGTCTGATTTTCACTGTCACCAGAGTAGTAGCTTTAGATATAAAAATATTTTCATAGTTTAATTAAAACCAAGGTCAAAATATGAAGTGTAAAAGAATGCCAAATGCAGTAAAATATTATTAAAAATGCAATAGTATATCAGCAAACAGAAAGGGCACCTGTGACTGTTGGAAGCACACATATAAAAATTGTGACTCTGTGCAGATTAGATTTTTTTAGTCAAATTAATGTTGGCATAAAAATTGTCTTTAAAAATATTTTCAGAGATTATCAGATTTTGAAATTATAAATGCAGAATATGAACCCACATAAACAAAATATTAGTAAAAATTAAATATTCATCATTAGAGTCTTGATTAAATGAATCGTGGAACATGTTCTATGGTGTAATACTATGTAGCTCTCAAAAAGAATGAGAAAACTATATTTTCATATCAAAATATCCCTAAGATTTATTAAGTGTGACTAGCAAGATGCTAAATAATATTTGTAGTCTGTCTCTATTTCTGTAGAGAAGGGAAATAATTATAAGAAAACAGAAAGTGATGTATGAGAGAGGGTGGAAGAGAAGCTTTTCACTCTATGGTTTTAATTTGGTAGTTTTGCGACTTAACTATGTACAGCTTTACATAATGCTGCTAATTCTACTTAGGCAATTAAACACTTGGAAAATTAAAAGATAATTTTGTTAGGGAAACTACAGGAAGAAGAAGTATGAGTCCCGATGTGCTGTGTGGCACCAAATCTGCTTTGTGACACAAACCTAAAATTTAGCCACTGTAGCCATCCAATTTAGGGGAAGCCTCCACTAACAAATAAACCAATAACCATTGCCTTCTGGCATAGGTTAATTCCAGTGCTTTATTAGAACATCATCATTGCCATTTACAGCAGAAGACTAACAGAATACCTTTGTTTTATCAGTGGGGAAGTGGGAGAAAGGAGAATCTAGGATGGAATATGGCTTTCATGTAACTGAGATTTTGTAAGTTTGAGCACTTCCACTTCTAAGGTGCATAGGCTTTAGGCTCTTATTCCCAAAAGTACATGGCAGACACAGACATTCTCCCAATGTCCTAGTAGTGTCAGGAGCTGAGTTGCAATTAGGATGAATCATTTAAACTATTCTGTTGTTAGTTGTTAGACTGGTAGGTCAAAGAAAGTTCATTGACAGAGTTTAGCTAGCATTTTCAAAGGATTTGACAGTGTCTCCAGTGGTGGCCTGCTGAATGTGATTGAAATATGTGAGCTCTATAGCACTATATTTAGGTAGATCTATAACTATTTAAATATTTCTAGGAAATAATTGATTAATGGATCCTTGTTGAAAAGAAAGAAGGCTACTGGTGCGTTATACATTCTATTAGCCCTGCTGTTTAACTTTTAAACTTTGACTTATCTGTTTATTTTATAACTTCTTATTGCAAACTCACCATATGTGAGAGTCTATTAGTCTACTGGGAATGTTAATAGTGAGCACTGCTTCAGCATGCAAAATTATAGTCTAAGAGGGTTACTGAGGGGGCTTCAGGATGGCTGATTAGAGACATCCAGCACTCCCCTCTTCCACAAAGAGCCAAAATAGCAAGGAGATAATCACACTTCAAATAGAGAATGTAAGAGAGGACACAAATTCAACAGAGAAGTAGCAGGAAACACCTTAGGCATGGAAGGAGCGGTAGGTGAGACAGCCAGCTCATCTGGGATCAGCTGGGAGTCTGGAGTGTGGGGAAAGGGTGAGTGAGAGATCCCGAGGCCCACATTCTCACTGTGTATCTCTGTAATAATACCTACAGGAGAGCCTTTCAGCCTTTTCAAGCCCTAAGACTAGCATAGGAAGATGCCTGGATCACATGATGACATTGCCTCAGGGAAGGAGCTTATGCTGAGTCCCACACATACCCCAAGTCTAAGTAGCTATAGCACAGCATTATTTTGAAAGCTTATTCCTCAGCAGCCTGCATCTTGTTCTGGGACCCAACAGTCCCTGCATTGCCACATCCCAAAAGCTCTGCTGACATTCTCCCACATTCACATGGAGGGTTGCAACAGCACAATGCTGATTGGACCCAGCACTCTAGCACACATGGTCTTCTGTGCCCCAGGGAATGGTGGTGCAGTGCACTAGGAAGGGTGTGCCAGGGACAAAGAGAGTCCAAGTGTTTACTCACTAAAGCCTGAGAGCCACTTGCCTGGGGCAGCTAACACAGACAGCAACTCTGGAACCCCAGCAGCAGGACTGCTGTGCACATGCCCTGAAAACAGTCTCCCCATGCCCACCACTGTGGCTGTTGTAGCACCCTGGCTCTACTTCAGGAAGCCTGAGGATCACTCTGTCCTATTCACCACAGCTACAGCCTAAGTGTGTCACCAAGAGGCCTGAAGACAAGCCCACCCAGCCTGGCACTACCTGTAACCCCCGCAACAAACTCTAGTGCCCAAGCACACTGCCCAGATGCCTGGGGATTGCCCTGTTCCATTCACCACTGCTGGCATCTGTTCATTCCTCCTGGGGGCCTGAGGATGGGCCTACCTAACCTGCTACTGCCACCACAGCCAGAATAAACCTGAATACACCACCTGGGGGCCTAAGGACTGGCCTGCCCAGCATGTCATAGCTACTGCTAACACCAGTGCATACCACTTCAGTCAGAGCCTAAGGGTTGTTCTGCCACTGCTACTGACATCGCCCACACCACACATGCTGCCCAGGGGACTGAGAACCCACCCAACTGCCCATCCCACCTGCCCATCCCACCACTGCCACTGTCAACACCTAAGCAAGCCACCTGTAGGGTCAAGAATTGACCCAGTTGTACCTGTAAATACCGGTGCCTGCATATGCCACCTAGGGGCTAAAGGACAGACATGCTCATCCCATTGCTGCCACCCTGGGGTCTGAGGACTGGCCCATCTTACTTTCTTATCCCCGGAAAAATGTCAACAAACCTTTCACTAATAACCATAGCTTAAGACACTGAGGAAATCACAGGCATCACTGATGCTACTTACAGCTGAAGAAATCATAAGGAGACTACACTACTGCATATACCTAGAATCAAAACTAAAGTATTCTACCCAACTAACACCACAGATATATCTTCTGGTAATGTATTCCTCTATAAAAGCCAATCCAAACAATTAGAAGAAGTGAATATTACACCAGATATGCAGATATCAATGTAAGAACACAAGAAATATTTTTTAAAAAGAATACTTGACACCTCTAAAGGAAAACAATAATTCTCCAGCAACAGATTCCAATAAAAAGAAATTTATAAAATGCCAAAAAAGATTTCAAAGTAGTAATATTAAAGAAGCTAAGTGAGATAGAAGAAAGCACAGATAATCATTACAGAGAAATCAGAAAAACAATTTAGGATAGGAACAAGAAATTTATCAGAGAGGTAGATTAAAAATATATATAGAGAGAGAAATCTTGAAACTGAAGAATTCAATGAATGAAATAAAGAATTCATTCAAGATCTTCAACAGTAGACTAGATTAAGCAGAAGAAAGGATCTCAGAACTTAAAAACAGGTCTTTTGAAATAGTTCAGCCAGACGAAACATTTTAAAAAATGAAAAACAGTGAACAAAGCTTATATGACACATGGGACACCATAAAGTGAGCAAATAGGCAAATTTTGGATATTCAAGAAAATGAAAAGAAGGCCAAAGTCATAAAAATCTTTTTTAACAAATTAATAGTTGAAAATTTCCCAGCTCTAACAAGAAGCATAGACATCTAGATACAGGAAGCTTGCAGATCCCCAAATAGATAAAATTCAAAAGATGTTTTTTATGGCACATTATAGCCAAATTGTCACATCAAAGAAGAAGAGTACATTCTACAAACAGCAAGGGAAAGGTATCTAGTCATTTATAAGGGAACTCTCCATTAGACAGTGATTTCTCAATAGAAGCCTTACAGGCCAAGAGACAGTGGGATGATATGTTCAGATGGTGAAAGAGAAAAAAACCCTGCCACTCAAGAATACTATACCAAGCGAAGTTATTTGTGAGGAATGAAAGATAAATGGTCTCTCCCAGACAAGCGTAAACTAAGAAAATGTATTACAACTACACCAGTCCTACAAGAAATACTTAAGGGAGTTCTACATCTGGAAGAAAAAGTATGATACCTACTATCATGAAAACACATAAAAGTATAAAACTCATTTGTTAAGTAAACATACAAATGAGAAAGAGAAAAAAACTCAAATTTTACCACTAACCCCTGTTCACCAAACTGCAGTAATAAGCAAGAGAAAATAAAGGATATATAAAGCAATCAGAAAACAATGAACAAAATAACAGAAATAAGTCTTCATATAGCAACACCCTTGAATGTAAACATATTACATTAAAGATATAGACTGGTAGATTGAATTAAAAAAAAAAAACTGAGCCAAATGCATGTTGCCTACAAGAAATTCATTTTACTTGTAAAGACATGTACACTAAAAGTAAAGAAATGGAAAAAACAAAAAAAAGCTGTTCTACACTAACAGAAACCAAAAGTAAGTTGGGGTGGATATACCAGAAAAAAGCTACTTTAAGTCAAAAACGGTAAAAAGAGACAAAGAAGGTCATTATATAATGACAACGAAAGCAATTCAGCAAAAGGGTATAACAATTCTAAATAAATATGCAGCAACCCTGAAGCACCCAGATATATAAAGCAAATATTATTAGATCTAAAGGGAAAAATAGACTCTAATACAATAATATTTGGGAACTTCAACATCCCACTCTTAGCACTAGAAAGATCATCTAGACAGAAAGTGAACAAAGAAACACTGGATTTAAACTGGATTTTAGACCAAATGGACCTAACAGACATCTACAAAACATTTTACCTAACAGTTGCAGAACACAGCGCATGAAACATTCTCCAGAATAGACCATATGTTAGGCAACAAAACGAGTCTCAATACATTTCAAAAAATCAAAATCATAGCAAGCTTCTTCTCAAAACTCAATGGAAAAAAAAAGAGAAATACAAGAGGAACTTCAGAAATTATACAAATACATGGAAATTAAACAATATACAACAACCACTGGGTCAGTGAGGAAATTAAAAAGAAAATTTAAAAAAATATTGAAGCAAATAAAAATGGAAACACAACATACCAAAACATAAAAGATACAGCAAAAGTAATGCTAAGGAGGGAAGTTTATAACAATAAATGCCTATCTCAAAAAAGTAGAAATATTTCAAGGAAACAATCTAACGATGCACTTCAAGAAACTATATAGAAAAGCAAGAACAAACCAAATACAAAATTAGGAGAGGAAAGAAATGATAATAAAGACCAGAGTAAAACTAAATGATAGAGAGACTAAAGAAAAAACAATGCAATGGATCAATGAAATAAAAAGTTGGTTTTTGAAGAGAATAATAAAATTGATAAACCATTAGTTTGACCCACCAAGAAGAAAAAAAAAAGAGAGAGAAAACTGAAACAAAATCAGAAAGAAAAAAATGAGACATAACAATTCATATCACCAAAATAAAAAAGATCATCAGACTATTATGAACAACTGTACGCTAACAAATTGGAAAACCTGGAGGAAATGATTAAATATCTGGACACATGCCAATCCGGCAAGATTGAATTAGGAAAAAATAAAAAACTTAAGGAGACCTATAACATAATAAGATTGAATCAGTAATAAAAAGTATTCCAACAAATTAAAGTCCAAGATTGGATGGCTTCACCACTTAATTCTACAGAACCTTTAAAGAAGATTTAATATCAATTCTTCTCAAACTTTCTGAAATACTGATTTATCTTTGTATTCCCAGAATAAGCCACATTTGATCATGAAAAAAAGAAAATGGCTTACCATTTCCAAAGCTAGAATCCTCTTACATCTTTGGACTTTGCATATGTGTGTGTGTGTGTGTGTGTGTGTGTGTGTGTGTGTTTTCCATACGCATCCACACCCCCAGGGTATTCACACAAAAAGCATAGCTTCTTTCCTCAACAAGGACCTTGAGTTTTTTTTTTCTACTAAGGCCCATCTGTGGGACAAATTAATATAAAATGTGTTAAGGTGTTTTCTTAGGATACTAAAGTTAAAAAAAAAAAAAACTCCTGGTAAAGTACTCATAATTATAACAACTTAAAGCTTTGACAAATGTCACATTCCTAGCCATAGCAATTTGTGGAAGAGTTGAGGAAATACAGGTTATTCATCTATCCTTTCCTGTATCTCTCATGTTGATAATGGAGCTAATGGAGTTTGTTTGATTTTGAACATCAACTAAGTAAACCATGGTCTGATATTTCAAAGATGGTCTTACGTCTGAGATGTTAAAATAAAATATACTATAAATCAAGGCAGTATTATTATGAGGTCAATTTTCAAGGAACAGTTTCCCAATAAAGGTTTATCAAGTAAATCTTTAAATAAGTTTTCAGGACACAGCATGCTTTGAGCTTTTCCAGTTAATTAAATATAACTAATTTTCCAGTAGAGGATTTTAAGTCAGTTAAAGCTACCTTCGGAAATATTATAGGAAAAGATTGTATTATATTAATTTATTTGAAGTATTAAAAATTGTAGATAGCGCATGATTTAAATGGAATCCTCTTCTCAGAATGTTAACCACTATAATGTCTAGAGACTACACACTTACAGTACTCTCAGGACAAACTCTGAAAAATAGACCATAAATCCCACAGGGTGGATATACCAAGTTGCATATAAAGCAAACCAAGCCCTTAAGACAGGAAACAGAACATTCAATCTCAATCCAGAGAACTTTAGAACAGATATGTTCAATTCAAAGTTTTCTTCATTGCTTGCATACTAGGCTCTGAGAAAGCCAAAAAAGTAACCAAGAAATGTATACTCAGAACCGACTTTCTGAAGCTGACAAAGTAAAATCCCAAAATGATATAATATGTAGGCATGGGATGTATTTTTGATACCCAACTCAGATTGTATAACAAATAAATGTCAAGGGTATTCCTTTCAAGCCTCACCTGGTTACAGCAAACTTAGAGACACATATAGACACAGACACCACCTATAAATATTTTTTGCTCTAACATAAGCCAAAGCTTTGGAGAAAAGGTAATGTAAGGATATTTGGAGGACTCCACAAGTACATGTAAGAAGCAACCTTGAATTTTAGGTGAATAGTAGTGCCATGTATTGGATGAGCAGGATGCATCCAGGTAGTGTGAGGCCTGAAATTTATTCAAATCAGCATTACAAATGCAAAATTAGTGATGAGAGTAAATATTTATGTAGAACAAAAATAAATCACAAGTTATAAATTTAAAAAAACAAACATTTCATAAACATGAAAAAAATAAAAAATTTTTTAACTGCTTAATTATTTTGACTGTTTATTCTTTAATTCTTCTCAGAAAAAGAACTTTGTAATATAATTTTCTCTAGAGAAAATGAATACCTAATTCTACCTCTCCTTTAGCATGGTTGAATGAAATTTGTTTTTATTACTAATTGTAGAGATCAGAGGTGCAAGAGCCCTTTGCAGGAACTGGGAAGGGGTTACAGAAATGTGTTCACATGTTTTTGTTAATTTCTGCAAAAGTTAGATATTTTAACTAAGATCAGTTCAGACAACTATGTATTTTCACTCTGCTGTGGTCTATATGTTTGTGTTACCCTTCAAATTCATATGTTAAAACCTAATCACCAGTGTGATGGTATTAGGAAGTAGGGCCTTTGAAAGGTATTTAGGTCATGAGTTCAGAGTCCTTCTGAATGGAATTAGTGTCTATCAATGCCAAAGAGCCCCCAAAGAACTGCTTACCCCTTTCTGCCATGTCAGATACAGCAAGACAGCACCATAAACCAGGAAAAAAACCCTCATCACCAAATCTGTTAATGCCTTGACATTGAACTTCCCACGTTCCAGAACAGTGGGAAATACATTTCTGTTGTTTATAAGCAGTTTATGGTACTTCGTTGTAACATCACAAGTGGACTAATGCACTCCAACTTCTCCTTTTACTCTATCACGTGACTTCATGTCAAGTGGTATTCATATGGCTACAAGAAGTTTTGGAATCTGGCTGGGGGATATTGAGGAATATATGTAGTCTAAGTTTAGTCGGATGTATTTGTGTGGTTTGTAGTCAGTCCTGATTTTACTTGGATTACTGCAGATTATCACAGTGTGGAAACAGCTTCCACCAATACACCTCAAAATATATATAAGGTTAGCCACTGCACAAAAACACAGTCACAATGCCTTTCATGTTGTACAGATAATATATGAAAAACATTGTACAGAGGTTTTTAAAAATTTGAAAGTACTAAAATTTACATGGCATTGCCGTTAAATTCTAAAACTGAGGCTGAAAGTGTCATGAAGGGAAATACATAATGAAACTATATGATCAATTTCAGTTAAAGTATCTTACTTAAAAAAAAAGTGACACTATGCCCACATTGCTTTGGTGCTTCCTGAAGCATAAAGTTTCACTGGCTTCATGGTAAACCTGCTTCTATATATACTGTAAGGAAAGGTAGGACTTTAGACAGGTTTGGTTTAAAATCTCAGCTTCATTACTTAAGAGTTCAGTGATAAGGACTACTTTTTCAGCCTTAGTTTCCTCGTCTATTAAATACTTCACTTGAGAAGCTTGAAAGATTCATTTATTCAACAACTGCTGATTGAGTATCTAAACAGAAGGTGCTGGGAATGAGTTTAGCATATGCCAGGAACTGAAAGATTTATGTGGCTGACAAAGAGTTGAGCAAAGCAGAAAACATTAGTAACTGAGATCTGAGAGAAGGGACCTCACACATGGCAAAGAGTCTTAACTTTATTATTATTGCAAGTAGCTTATTTTAAAATTTTAAACAGGAAGTGACATTCATGATTATTTCATCCATGTGGAGACTTATAATATTGACAGCAACAATTGTTTTGGGGGCATAGATTATGTTACAGGCAAGATAATAATCACTATACAAATGCTTTTTTATGTAATCCTCTTAGAAACCTATTGAAATAGTGTCATTACCTCCAATTTGCAGCGTTAGAAACCAAAACTTGGAAAAATTAATTAACTTACTGGAAGCCAGGAGGTTAGATTTGGACAAAGTGGGTTCAAACCTAGGTCTCTATTACTTCAAAGCCTCTTCTGCAAACTGTAGTTAGCCTGTTACCACCTAGCAGGAGTCTGATCACTTCAATATCACTGAGATTTAAGGGAGTGTTTGCACCATTTGGGTGAGTATTATTGGAAATCTCTTGTCTGTGCTCTAAATTTTTCTGTGGGGAAAAATAGACTATCCTTTTAAATTGAGAAAATTTTTTAATGTTTTGTCAGTTAGCTCAGTAAAGAAAAGGTGCTCTTTTGCAGTTTAGAGTGTGGCTTTTTGCAAATGCAATACTATTTTAAAATGGCATCCAGTACAACAGATGTTTATTTGTCACAGTACACTTCGGGATATGGGTTCTTTATTTTCCTCTGCTCCAGCATCCACTCTGGATCAGAAATTCTTGGCATAAATGTAAGTGTTGAATCATATCAAATGAGTAAGAATCTTTACTATTAGAATTTGACTCGTCTCCTAAGGGTCCTTTAATTATTTCTTATTTGGGTCTCCTTTATCTAAATTGACTGGGTAATTTCATCGAGGTATGAGATATTTGCCTAATCTTCTCTATAGGCTTCTGTTTAGCGCTTGTAATTAAAGAGTGAATGATAGCCCTTGGCAGATCCTCTAAAATAACTCAGGTTTAATATAGCCAAAGACTTCCCTTATAAAGTCACATCGGGCCAACTTAATTATTCTGAAAAGTAGAGATTAGAGATGAGCCATGTGAAGATGCGTTTTCTTTGAAAGAAAGCAGACAGTGACTGAGGAACTTTTAGGTCTATGTATAAAATGGTAGAGTTGGATCCATGCCAGAGGGAGTTAAATCCACAATAAGCAAATAGTAACACGCAAAAGAGAAGCTCTTTCCCGGGTGCAATGGCTCATGCTTGTAATCCTAGCACTTTGGGAGACCGGAGGTGGGTGGATCACCTGAGGTCATGAGTTCAAGACCAGCCTGGCCAGCATGGCGAAACTCCATCTCTACTAAAAATACAAAAATTAGACGGGTATGGTGGTATGTGCCTGTAATCCCAGCTACTCAGGAGGCTGAGGCAGGAGAATCACTTGAACCCGGTAGGCGGAGGTTCCAGTGAGCCCAGGTCGTGCTACTGCACTCTAGCGTGGTGACAAAGCTAGACTCCATCTCAAAAAAAAAAAAAAAAAAAGAAAGTCTTTTGTTGATGTTTCTACTGTCTGTATTCTACTTCCTTTTCATTTTTTTCTTTGTTGAGAAAGCACTGAAAGAACATTTCCAATTTTGTGTTAATCAAGAAAATGATTGTTTTCTGATGGATTTCACCTTCATATTTCATCAATACAATTAAATTCTCTCCAGATAAACCCACCTATTTCTTCATTTAGTAATTCTTTCCTTAACTTTATAATTTAACCACTAAGTATTTGCATTTGGTCAGCCAAGTGTCAGCCAAGTGTTAGAAACTCAGCAGCAGTAAAGTCAGTGCAACATTTGGTAGATACAATTTCATAAATGACTGGAAATTTTCATTTCACATATCAGTCAATCTAGCTAGACCAGTGGTACCAATGCCTGACTTTCATCCATACCTTTATTCAATTAATTAAGTCATAAAATGCAACCTTTAAGTAGAAGTCAGTAATACTAAAGTGCAGAGAAGGAATCTGTAATCAGTTTGAAAGATTTGAATTTCTGTTAAACACTTAAGATGTCAGGCTTGGTTGTGCCCTAGACAGAGAATTTCCTAGAACAACTGGTAGTTACTTTAGATTGCTCTGTATTTTAAACAGAAGATCATACAATTATTTAGCACTTCAGAGATGAAAATAGCTTTTGCATGCAAAAAATGACAGAAAATGCAGTAGGTTACCATGTGACTTTGTGCTCATTTCCACCATACCTCAACCTAATTTAATTTTAAAGGACATTTTAAGTAATGTTTTGACTATAAAGCTCTTGCATCTGATTAAAACATGACAAATCCTTATGTGAACTAAAGTTATAGGAACAAAAATATTTTTGAAGCTGTGCAAAGGTGCTAAGAAGTTGACAATTTTGATTGTTGACAATCACTGATGGAATATGGTTGAAATCTGGTACCAAAATAATAGCTATTAAATGGGCAATGGCTACGATTTTTGTGACTGAATAAGGGCTGTGCCTAAACAATTATACTCTAAGGCCTGATAGGGTAGCTACTAACCAGATATGGCTGTTGAACACCTTAAATGTGGCTATTCTAAATTTAGATGAGCTAAAAATGTAAAATACACACCAGCTTTGAAGACTCATTGTGAGAAAATATAAAACTCGCATAATAACTTCTTTATAGAATACAGGTTAAAATGATAATATTTTGGGTATATTAAGCTAAGAAAAACATTATTAAAATTAATTTTGCTCATCTTGCTTTTTAAATGTAACTACTTGAAAATTTAAAATTACATACGCAACTTGTATTTGTGACTCTCATTATATTTCTATTTGATGGCATTGCTCCAAGGGGACAGACAGAGGCAAATAAATTGTTAAAGAGTAAATTAAAATCCATTTGAACACATTTGGCAGTTATATTAACCTTCAAAATATATCTTAGAAGCCTTTTCATATCTTACTGAGTAATTTTGTCCCTTAGATAACCATCCTTATTAACATATACATAAGAGACCAACATATACAAATGCACATGTGCACACACACAGAGTTCTCAGAAGGAGGAGAAATGAAATAACTGGAAGCAGCCTGGCACGCTAAAAAGAAAACTGGAATAAGACTAAGAAAATTTGGATTTGTTAAAAATGTTTGCCACAACTGTTTCTAGTGACAATAAGTCACTTATTTGACCAGATCCTTAGTTTTCCCATTTGTTAGTTGACTGTGTTAAAGAATCTCAAAGACTTTCCTGCTCGCACATGCAAGGAATCCTTAAGGCAGATGAAAAAGATATAGGATTGACATGAGAGTTGATTAGAAAACTGGACTTCACTGGAGAAAATGGAGAAAAGCCATTATAAATGCCCAGAGCAAGATAACCCTTGAAGAGTACAGAGACAAGCATCCCAGGAAGATGTCTTTTCCCATTAGCCTCTACCCTCTGCTTACACATTTCATCTTCACAGAAGAAAGTGTATCCCCCTCTCTCTCTGAGTCTATATTCTTGTTGAACAGATTTTTTTTTCTCACAACCACCCCAAGTCACATTTTGTCCCTCTGGTCACTTGGATTCTTGCTCCTACCCAACATCATTTGTTGTCTTTTGATTTCACATAGGAAGTTCTCCTGTGAATGATCTTGCATTTGCCTCCTTTCTGACTTAGTTTTCTATTTGCGAGCCCCTATCTTTAAAACAAGATTCAAAGCCAAATTTCTCCAACTTCCAACTTCCGAAGCTTTTATGCGACCTCATCCTTACCTTGCAGGTTCTGGAACTGTTATGGGAAAGAGGTTCCAATCCAGACCCCAAGAGAGGGTTCCTGGATCTCGCACAAGAAAGAATTCAAGATGAGTCCATAAAGTGACAGCAAGTTTATTAGGAAAGTAAATAAATAAAAGAATGGCTATTCTATAGACAGAGCAGCCCCAAGAACTGCTGGTTGCGCATTTTTATGGTTATTTCTTGATGATATGTTAAACAAGGGGTGGGTTAGTCATACCTCCCCTTTTAGACCATCTAGCATAACTTCCTGACCTTGCCATGGCATTTGTAAACTATCATGGCACTGATGGGAATGTAGCAGTGAGGACAGCCAGAGGTCACTCTCATGGTCACCTTGGTTTTGGGGGTTTTAGCCAGCTTCTTTACCGCAATGTTTTATCAGCAAGGTCTTTATGACCTGTATCTTGTGCCAACCTCCTATCTCATCCTGTGACTTAGAATGCCTTAACCATCTGGGAATGCAACCCAGTAGGTCTCAGCATTATGTTGCCCAGCTTCTATTCAAGATGGAGTTGTTCTTGAATAGAACACCTCTGACAGATCTTCTCAAAAGGTAAGGCACATTTAGGTCTGGGGTAGGATGGAAGGGTACGGGATGAGAGATTTTCCGTTGTACAAAGGGAAGGCAGAAGTTAAAGTAGGAAGGCCAAGAAAGAAAGGAAAATCTCCTTCCATGGCGTGAGTGTCGTCTTCCTTTATTTGTGATTCCAGTTATTTAATTACTTCTATTGAGTATTGAACTTTCCATCTAGAGGTATGCAGACAAATCATATTCTCTGCCCTTGGAAATCTGTACAATACTAATGTTTCAAAATATTAATATGTGAGCTTTCTTCTTTCCTTTTCCAAATTTCCATTTTGGTAGGATGATCTCCCCAAAATCGCCTTTAGGTGCATGAGAACCACACCCCAAAATGTCCTTTTTCACTTCTATCAAAAGTTCTCTCTTTTTAACCCGATTATTTCTGAAATGAGCTGAAATCTGTAGCCTAAATATATAAACATAATGATGTGATTTTATAATCAGTTTAGATTAAGTGCAAAACGTATTTAAAATGTAAGAGTGTCACCTGTTCAAGATGCTATCATTAAAGTGGTTGGTTGTTACTTATACATAAGTCCCTTGAGTAGTTAATGCAAGGCCATTCTCAATAATACCCAGAGCTACTCAAATATGATTCATAAAAGAGACAGTCCTTGAATCTCCTCTCCAGGGCAACCTGAGGTAATAGGTAATCACCGTATTCTGTCCTTTTGCTATTACAGCTATCAGAACTGCTTGACAAAATTGCTATCCCTCTCCTAACCAGGTAAGACTAACCCAAAACTCCTTTGGAGAAGAGGAGAAAGGGGAAGTGTTGCTGGCCACCTGGAAACACAAAGTTCTTGACTCCCCACTTGACTCTCATAGGCTGATACTCTAACCCTTATTCTCCATGGGCTAGAGAATCCCTTCTCATCTGCTCATTGAAACTCACAGACAAAAGGTGCCTGCATTTATTTTACTCATAGGTGTCAAGATTCCATTTTCCATGTTGAAGTTATTTCAAGTACCTTTAACCATACTACAAGAAATACAGTAGTATGGAGACCCCATAGGAAATGTATAAATTGCCCTGCCCAAAAACAATACAGTTAAAAGTCAGAACAAAGAAAAGCTGGTGTGAACCCCAAATATCTGAGGGAGGTCTCAGTTAATTTAGAAAGTTTATTTTGACAAAGTGAGGACATGCACACATGACACAGCCTCAGAAGGTCCTGACGACATTTCCCCTAGGTGGTCAGAGCACAGTTTGATTTTATACATTTTCGGGAGACATGAGACATCAATCAACATATGTAATATGAACATTGGTTCCATCTTGAAGCAAAGGAGGGACAACTTGAAGTGGGGAGGGGGCTTCCAGGTCATCGGTAGAAAAGAGACAAATGGTTGCATTATTTTGAGTTTCTGATTAGCCTCTCCAAAGAAGGCAATCAGATATGCATTTATCTCAGTGAGCAGAGGGGCGACTTTGTATAGAATATGAGGCAGGTTTGCCCTAAACAGTTCCTAGCTTGATTTTCCCTTTAGCTTAGTGATTTTGGGGCCCCAAGATTTATTTTCTTTTCAAACAAGATTCTCTAATTCTAGTTTATTTGTTAGATCCTATGTATTTGGCTATTCTCATCTCTTGTACAAGTGAGGTTCACTAGTCCGAACCTCTTTACTTTCCATTTTGGCGTCTTTTGGCAAGGTCACACTGAGTTTATACAGTGTACCTGTGTCTAGGTTCATGGCTTTCCAAGTATGCCATCATAAAATAGCTTGTACTATTTTACTGGGAAATTAAACCCAGGACTATAAATCAAATTCTTTGTTGCTCTTCCTGGATCATTTTTGCTTTTTTTTTTTTTTTTTTTTTTTTGTGAGACAGAGTCTTGCTCTGTTGCCCAGGCTGGAGTACAGTGGCACGATCTTGGCTCACTGCAACCTCCACCTTCCAGGTTTGAGCAATTCTCCTGTCTTAGCCTTCTGAGTAGCTGGGACTGCAGGCATGAGCCACCACACCCATCTAATTTTTGTACTTTTAGTAGAGACAGGGTTTCACCATGTTGCCCAGGCTTGTCTCGAACACCTGATCTCAGGTGATTCACCCACCTCAGACTCCCAAAGTGCTGGGATTATAGGCGTGAGCCACCACACCTGACCTTCTTTATTTGACATCATATGTGATTCCAGCTCAAATTAAATTGAGAATTAAAACAGATAGTGAATGTAGCCCTTTATATAGAAAAACAAAGTTCAAGTCTCTATAGTTGTAGCTAACAAGCAGTTGAAATGTCAGTCTGCTTTTTCCTGAGCAATTATGATGTAACTAAGGCACTAAATCTGCCGTATTTGTGGTGGTAGAGGCAGGAGAAGTCATTGAAATGCATCTTTAGTTATGAATCTCATTGTAAAAAGTTGTTTTTGTTCTTCCTTAGACTCTGTCTTTAAATATGTAAAAAGGCTGTAGTTAGCCCATGTTGTTGTCATGGGATCCATAATTTAGCTAGAGCTCACCAGTAGTAAGGGACACAATATGGCTCAGGAAGTACTAGTAGAAACAGAACAGGACTCATGGAGGAGAAAAAGCTGTATGGGTGGACTAGGACATCGGCCTGCACCAGGAGAAGAAAGACAACACCAACTGCAGGGTTTGGGCAAGACAAATAATGTCCTTGTGCAGTTTGCTAGTCCATGTATAAGATTTTCTGTAAGAACTGAGCAAATAGAGGAATCCATGACACTTACTGCTTGCCTATTTCCTGGGTGACGTTTGTTGTGTACATGCTGCCTGTTGCTTTTCAAAGCAAACCAGAAAAGTGAGGATGTTTGCCAAGAACAAAGGTGTGATGGACTTCTTTGGAAATGCTTCCTGGAGAAGAGTTATTTACTGTTAGTGGTTACGTCCATTCCTCCCCTATTGCAGTCTGTTCTGTTGAGGGTTGGCAGGATACAAACAAAGTCTATGATTCTTTCCTCTCTTCAATGTTCCATTCCTGGAGAGGAAACTACTAAGGAGAGAAAGGGGCAGAGTTGGCCACTCGAATAAAGCTGAATGAATACCAAAAATGTTATCCTAATGACCATAATCATTTTTCATTTTAACATAACAGAGACTTTGAATCCACGGGAAATTATCCTAGGTAACAACGTGACTACTAACATAACATTTACAATAGTGTTCAACGATTTATTACCATATGCTTGGATATTATTGGCATGGCATTTATAACAAAAAAAACTTTCTCTGCTTACTCTTTTGTGTTCAGGGACAATGCTATTACATTCAAATATTTAATTATGTCTGTTTCTCTTAGGCTGAGCTACATCGCGGAAAAATATACTCTAGCAAGAACACTGACTATTCTATTTGCACTGCCTATTCTGCTATGCAGAAGCCATGGGCCTACTGCTGAGTGATATATTTATATCTTAGATAAAATAATAGTTGCTTTCTCACAAGCAACACAATTACTTTGCTTACATAGGGAGATGGAGAAAAACAAAACTAACAAAGAATGCTTCGTGGAGATTAAAAGACTGTTTAAACCAAAGAGCATGTGCATTTCAATTTATATGGTGAACGAGTAGGAAAGAATTATTACTGGGAGAAAAACAACACATCTGATTATGGAGCACACTTGAAAATATGAACAATACTCTGTTCATGAGCATAAGTATGAAGTGCTGGGGTTAGCATCCGGCTGATCAAAAGCATCTTGCAAAGCGAAGAGGAAGTGCTCATTATTCAATGACTTCCAGGCTTTCACACAACTGTAGTAACTTTGTTTACAAAGTCATCTGATTTTAATTGAAAAAGATCTTGAGATGCTCAGAGATGTATAGAGATGACAGATTAATGGCCTTCTCACACAGCCTAATATTCCTGCAAATCCTTAAAACTGCATCTTGTGAAACTAATATGAGAAAAGGGTATGGCTTTCCACATTCCTGCCAGCTTAGGTTATCCATCTGACTGGCGTATGACTTGCAGCTGGATTATGACTAAAGCAGGGACAGATGACTAATATGAGCTGCTGCTTCTAGAAATCAGTAGAACGCGTCCTAATTCAATCACGCCCACTCAGTATTATCTCTCCCTCTAAACTTCTCTTTGTATGCACTTTTAAATATCTGTTATTTTTTCATTTGTCTCATATGGGAGGTTAATGAGAATTACATAAACTGATAATGACTTTTCTTTAAGTATTAAACACACTATTAATAGGCTAGAGAAATGACACAAATCATGCAAATAAGTAAATAAAAAGCTGAATCTGCAGAATAAAATGTTAGCAATAGATCACATTCAAGTTGCTGGTAATTAAATATTGTGAGCCTAAAATAAGTATCTCTGTTGCCAAAGAACATGCTTTCAATATAATTTTCCTTTTATCTTCTGAAGACCATATTATTTTATTATACTTTCAACATTCTTTATTTTTGGTGGTATATAAATAATCTATAAAGAATCTGCATTAATATGGTTTATACCATCAAAATTATCACTTACAACTGACAGAATTTTAAACCCCAAATGAAACTATTTAGAAACCTAACCATAAATATATAATACCCTGTCATTTTTTTCAGCCTTATTTTTCTTTCTTTCTTTCTTTTTTTTTTTTCTTTTTTTTTTAGACAGAGTCTTGCTCTGTCACAAAGGCTGGAGTGCAATGGCACAATCATGGCTCACTGCAACCTCTGCCTCCCGGGTTCAAGTGATTCCCCTGCCTCAGCCTCCCAAGTAGCTGGCATTACTGGTGCCCGCCACCACACCTGGCTAATTTTTGTATTTTTAGTAGAGACAGAATGTCACCATATTGGTCAGGCTGGTCTTGAACTCCAGACCTCAGGTCTGGAGACCTGCCTCGGCCTCCCAAAGTTCTGGGATTACCAGCATGAGCCATCGCACCCGGCCTCAGCCTTACTTTCCTTAAGTAATAATCAGTGAAATCACTCATTCAAGATGCCAATATATATGAATACATTTTTCTGCACACACACACATACATACACACACACACACACACACACACACACACACACACACAAGTGAATTAGAAGATGGCTCAATATAAAATGTCCCAAACAAATCAGAGAATGTTAAGAGATGGATGAAACAGAATAGAGTGTAAGACACAAATAGAACATGCTTACAATGTTTAATCTATGCACTGTTGCAGTCCCAGAAAGAAAAAAAAAATAAGCCAATGGATCAAAATTAATATTTGAAGAGACATAACACAAAAATTTTGTAGGCCCGGGTGCAGGGGCTCACGCCTGTAATCCCAACACTTTGGGAAGCCGAGGCAAGTGGATCACCTGAAGTCAGGAGTTCAAGACAAGCCTGGCCAATATGGTGAAACCCCATCTCTACTAAAAGTACAAAATATTAGCTGAGCATGGTGGCGGGCATCTGTAATCCCAGCTACTCAGGAGGCTGAGGTAGGAGAATAACTTAATAACTTCAACCTGGGGGGCAGAGGTTGCAGTGAGCAGAGATCCTACTATTGCACTTCAGCCAGGGCGACAGAGGAGACTCTGTCTCAGAAAAAAAAAAAAAAAAAAAAAGAAAAGAAAAATTAATGATTAACATATATATTTGAGAAGTGAAACAAATTGCCAACAAAATAAATACAAGTGAATCTACACCAAGTCACATCATAGTAATACTGCTGAAAAACAAAGACAAAGAAAAAAGACCAAAATCAGCCTGAGGGAAAGCAAAAACACAGTACATTGAAAGGGCAAGAGTGAGAGTGACATATGACTTCTCCATAAAAACTCTCAAAGCAAGAAGGCAAACGAATGGGATCTTAACAGAGCTGAAGGAAAACAACTACTAGAAAAGTATTGTTATACTTAGTGAATATATTCTTTAAAAATAAGGTAAAATAAAGATTTTTCAGACAAAGGCTGAGAAAGTTTATCTCAGCAGACTTCCACTATAAGAAAAAGATAAAAGGGAAGATTTCATCAGGCAGGAGAAAATTTACCCAAATAATTAAAATATAACTAAAAATTTTAAAATTTAGTTAACTTTAAATTGTATGGATGATTAAAATGAAGGATGATTACCAAACAACATAGGTAAAAGGTGATAAATGCAGTATAAAGTTTAGATTATTGCACTAGTATCAGAATTAGAGTGTAATGGGTTAAAGATGAATATTATAGTCTCTAGTGTAACAATTAAAGAGTAGTTAAAATATGGATTTCTAACAAGTTACTTGTAGAACTTGATAAGAATGAATGATAAAATTATCCAATCTATTCAAAAGAAAGCAGCAGTCAAAGAAGATAGAACAGCATACAGATGGACCAAATACAAAAAGTTATATAGTGGTAGATTAAAACCACCCATATCAGTAATTATATTAACTATAAATGGACTAAACTCTCCAAGAAAAAGATTAAATTATTGCATTAGATTTAATGAAAAAGTGCTGCTACTTGAAAGAGACAAACATTAAATAAAAGGATGTACAAGGTTTGAAAGAAGGATGGAAATTGATATACCATGTAATTACAAACTAAAAGCTGGGGGGGCCATATTAACCTCAGGAACACTAGATTTTAAAAAAGAAATATTGCTGAAGATAATTAAACATAAGACATACCATAATGGTAATGGGAATGATCCAATAGTAATGTATCAGAATTCTATGTATTTTTC
The DNA here is from genome assembly GCF_000001405.40 of Homo sapiens. Classification (NCBI taxonomy): domain Eukaryota; kingdom Metazoa; phylum Chordata; class Mammalia; order Primates; family Hominidae; genus Homo; species Homo sapiens. Next base: position 104,775,842 of record NC_000011.10, read on the forward strand.
AATAACAGTTTTCAAAATTATAAAGTGAAAAGTGAGATAAATAAGGAGAAATACATAATTATCATGACAGACTTTAAATTACTAATAACTCCAATCTTCAAGGCCAAAGTCTTCAAATCTTTCTCTGCTCCATCTTTATATTACTTTTTCCTCTATGTATGAGCAATCTCCCTCCTTTTTATAGGGATTCATTTAAGACCCAACCAGGTAATCCTGGATAATCTCTCCATCTCAAGATCTTTAAATTAATCGCATCTGCAAAAATCCCTTTTATTATTATTATTGCCATATAAAGTAACATTCACGGGTTCCAAGGATTAGGGTGTGAACATCTTTTGAAGAGCCATTTTTAAGCCTACTACAAGTCCAGTCAGATATCCTTCCCTATCTGATGGACACTTGCTGAGATGACAAATCCAGCTTCCTATAAAGTGCTGATTCTCTTCCTGTAAAGTACTGATACTTGTCATTATGTCCTAGGTCTGATCTTCAACATAGTCAATGCTGTAGCCATAGGAAATGAGTTTCTCTTTAAGCACTGCTAATTGTACCTTGAGTCAGTATTTGTCTGTTTTGGGGCTTTCATTTTCCTTCTTCAGTGCATCAGTTACATCCAACAATAACTAACAATATGACAATACTTATAATTACAACATCCACCTTCTCTGTCCAGTATAGGAGGTATTGCGTATAACAATTTATTTCCTTCCACCCAGAAACATTCCAATTTGTGATGGATGAAAATTTTGGTAATCTCACTGCTCTAGCTCCAGCATAGCACAGTGCATAAACAGTTCACTTACCGCCAATGATGAGGTCATGATACCATCTGACCATAGAGGAATTCAACTCCAGATTCCTGTTTCTCCAGATTCCTTCCTATGATGAACCAGTTTAGGTTATTCACACACATTTACCTGAGGTTGGGTTCTTCAGAAACATAACCTGAAGTGAAGATTCATGTGCAAGTTCCCAGGAAAAGCCAGTACAGAAATGAGGGGAGTGGAAGAAGCAAAGCAAGGGGGCAATTTCAGGCAAAGTTCTGGGGAAGGTAGCTTTAATTTTATCCTAGAAGGAGACTCAGGAGTATAAGTTACTCCTTGGAGTTCATTATGGCCCAAGGCAAGGGAGCTGGTTTTCGTTATGCTGCACCCATCTGTCAGTTGCTATGGGGAGAGGTAGCTCTCAAGCACTAGTAGCTTTTTATGCTTTGGGAAAGGGGCTCTAGAAACCTGAGAAAAATTCTTCAGAGATGAGTTCTAAAAGCAAGCACACTCAAGTCTAAGAAGGGAACATAGGAATAGTAAAAAAGGATCTGAGGGTACCTGAGCTTAGCACTGAGAGTGACTGGAACATATAACAGGTGATGAGCTGTATGCTACCACTGCCTCCCCCAACATCTCCCCTACCAACGTTCCTCTGCCCTGATCTGTTATCATTCTCTCCCTCACTCCCTCACTGTGCTTCACACATATTTTCCTTCTCTTTGCTCTTTAAATGCACTGTCCTCAAGTATGTTTGATTTTGCTATTCCCTCTGCTTACAATGCTTGTCCCATAGATATCAACATGATACCTCATCTGCTTGAAAACCCCTAGAAGAGAAGCTCTTGCTGACCACCATTTCTCAAATTATATACCATCCACCACCACCATGACTACTTTTTACTTTAGTTAACCTTTTCCTGCTCATTTGTCTTCAGGATTCTTATTGCTTAGTATATATGGAAACTATATTACCTGGCTTCAAATTTCAGAATCATTACTCTGCAAATTACTGTGTAAATTACTGAACTTGTCTTTTTTTCACTATCTTTATCTGTAAAATAGAAGTAACAATACTACCCATTCAAGTCTCTTTGAGTATTAGATGAGGGAATACAGGCAATGTTCTTAGAAAAATTCCCACCCGCAATTTAAATGTCCAATAGGCATAAGCTAATGTTTCCTTACTTCCTTTCTCACATGACAGGATACTAAGTCCATTAGGAGAGAATCTTTCATCTGTTTTAACTGCTATGCTCTCAGTGAGTATACCATTGCCTCATATGTAGTGATATTCAGTAATTATTTTTAATTAATTTATTTATAAATGCACAGGTTGTTTATCCTTCTAATTCTATTAAAGTTTCTTTCTGCTTTCTTCAAATCAGTAGTGATGACTATGGATGAATTAGTTTCTGAAACAACTGAAATCCACAGATCAGCACTGTCATGAGAACTCAATTTTCTGAAAGAATGCACTGTGCCTGCACTTTGCCACCTACATGGATGACAGGGATAAAATTAAATCAAATGCAACAAGATAGTATATGAGTATCTGCACATGGCAATTACTTGTTCTTTTGGGCTATTGAACACAATGATTATTTTGGCAACATGTTTTATACCTTCATACTCTTTCCTTGTGATAACTTGTTTCAGTCTCCATGTTTCAACAATTGACATTAGTACTTCACTGGAGTGAATGAATGAGTGACTCTAACATGTCCTTCCTTCTGCCACCATCTCACAGCCACTAACTGGGTAATTTGATTCAGGAGAAGATAATTCTGTCACTTTAATTTCTATCAAAAAATCATAGTGCTGGCAGAAGTTCCACCCATAAGTATAGTTATAAAACCTGGAGCACAAATAGCTAAAAGTATATTGTTAAGTACTTGTTTTTCTAAATTACCCTTAGAAATCTGTGTCACAACAATATTTGATTCCCAATAATATATTGGCCCTAGTGTACATAGGATTCTTTCTTCTCTCCCTTCTATTGATAACCAGTTTTAGATATTTCTCTTCTACTTATCATACTAAAAAAAATCTAGAGCTACACAAAAGTATATATGTCTATTAAAAGCAAAACACACACACACACACACACAGCAGAATAAGAAGACAATTAAAAAAAAGTGTCCCATAAGTCATCAGCCTGCAGCCCCACCTTTATTCTTTTGCTTGCTCTAAACATTTGGACAAAAAGGGTATGATCTAATGTTAATATACTGAGTGGGGAAAACCCGCAAGTCCTCCCTGCTTAGATTCTTCTTGGTGTCTCTGAGCATGCATTCTTTTCTTCTGGGTGTGGGACAGGACCTCTCTGGAATGGGGACTTATGACCTATAGTCAAAGAGTTAGATCAGGTAATTTCTTTATGGCCAGTTTTTACAGAGAAAGGTAGAGGAAAAATTAGAATAATATTTTTAGGTTTCATGATGGGCTTGGGGCAAAAGAGGTGCTGGTTTCAATGACCCACATTGGGGAGGAGGGATCTTAGCTTCTAGGGATAACTTCAGTGGGGGAACAGGACTGAGAAATAGGAGGACAGGAGAAGGTCAGAGGAAAACTTGTTGCATCTAGAACTGCTGCAGACGACTTCATTTTAGGATATTGTTTTCTGAGTCCAACACAGCTAATGGAGCAATATGTAAACAAATGTATAAATTTTTTGTAAGTTTAATTTTTTTTCAGAATTAAAAGTTAAAAATGTGTATTGTTATTTAAGTGAGATTGAAATTGTTAAAAATAACATTAAATTTACTATTTTATTCATAGACAAAAAATTATATGGAAACTGGATTTTTTAATACTGTTCTTAAATTACTTTCTACACACCCTAATGAAGACAAATAAGAGTATCAGAATACCGTGTGATATCATTTGAATATTTTACCCATCCAAATCTCATATTGAATTGTAATCTCCAATGTTGAAGGTGGGGTCTGGTGGGAGGTTTTTGGGTTATGGGGGCAGATCCCTTATGGCTTGGTGCTGTACTGGTGTTAGTGAGTGAGTTTTGTAAAAGCTGGTTGTTGTAAAGTGTGGCACTTCTCCCCGTCACTCTCACTCTTGCTCCTGTTCTTGCCATTTTAAGTGCCTGCTTCCACTTTTCCCTCTGCCATGAGTAAAAGCTTCCTGAGACCCCCCCCCCGCAAAGAAGCTGAGCAGATGTGGGCATCATGCTTACTGTAAAGCCTGAAGAACCATGAGCCAATTAAACTCTTTTTTTTTTTTTAATAAATTGCCCAGTCTGAAGTATTTCTTCATAGCAATCCAAAAATAGATTAACACAGTGTTATAAAGTTAGAAAAATAGGCTTTCATCTAGGGAAACAATTTGTCAACCAAGCAACATTTTCTTATTTGGGGCTATTCATGATATAGGCATAAGAATTGCAAACATTGCTCTTGAATTTTTTTTTTTTTTTTGAGATGGAGTCTCACTCTGTCACCCAGGCTGGAGTGCAACGGTGCATTCTCGGCTCAGTGCAACCTCCACCTCCTGGGTACAAGAGATTCTCCTGCCTCAGCCTCCCGAGTAGCTGGGGTTACAGGCACCTGCCACCATGCCCAGCTAATTTTTTGTGTTTTTAGTAGAGATGGAGTTTCACTATGTTGGTCAGGCTGGTCTAGAACTCCTGACCTCAGGTGATCTACCCTCTTCAGCCTCCCAAAGTGCTGGGATTGCAGGCATGAGCCACTGCACCAGGCCTGAATTTTTTAAATATTAGATTACTCTAGAAATTTGATTTTTAAATATTGATTAGTGAGCACAAATATTTAGTATTACAAGAAAAAGTGGTATGACAAACGTATTGAATTTAATTGTGAATAACAAAAGAATCAAACTCTGTAATATATTTGAAGGGATTTATTCTTAGCCATATATGATTGAGTAAGGCCTGAGGTACAGTCTCAAGAGATTCTGAGAACATGTACCCAAAGTGGTTGGATTACAGCTTGATTTTATACATTTTAGGGGGACAGAAGTTACAGGCAAATATCAATCAATATATGTAAGGTGTACATTGGTTTGGTCTGGAAAGGAAGGAAAATTTGAAGCAAGGGATGGAGTTAAAGAGGGTAGACTGGGGACTTCCAGGTTATAGGTAGATTCAAAAATTTCCTGAAGGCAATTGGTTGAAAGGGAAAGCTTTGCCTGAAGAGTTGAAGTCAACAGAAATAAATGCTTGTAGTTAAGATAAAGGGTGTTGTGGAAGCCAAGGTTCTTATTATGTAGATGAAGTCTCCAAGTAGCAGACTTCAGAGAATAAATAGAAAATGTCTCATCACATCCTAAAATGTGTCAGTCTCTTAGTTAACTTTCTTTTGGATCAGGAAAAGACCTAGAAAGGGAAGAGGGTTCTCTACAGAATATAGATGTCCCCACAAGAGACAACTTTGCAGAGCTGTTTCAAAATATGTTAAAAAATATATTCTGGGGCAAAATACTTGGATTTCTTTCGGGTCCCACTATGTGTCATGGGATCTTACACTAGAGTCAGGTTGGAATTTTGTATCTTATTGCTGCAAACAGTCTGTTTTGTCAGTCTTAAGATCTCTGTTTTAATGTTAATGCTGGTCATCCATACCTGAATTCCAGAGAGAGAAGGGTAAAATGAGGGATGTCTGACCTGCTCTTTCCATCATGGCTTGACCTAGTTTTTCAGATTTACTTTGCAATGCTCTTGGCCAAGAGAGGGATCCATTCAGTTGGTTGGGAGCTTTAATGTTATTTTTGGCTTACAGAGTTAAATTTTCTTCATTTTGAACAAAATGAAAATATTTTATACTTTTTTTGAGGCAACTTTAAAATTGTTCATTAAGTTCTAGTTAGTAATTTTGTAAAACTCGAACTCAACTTGGCTGGTAAAATATTCCCATTAAATTATTTCTTGGAATAAGACTATTTTGTTTCTTCAGTAAGTTGACATCAGCCAAAGCATTAATTAGTCACTAATAAAAGCACCTAAGTGGTTGGTCCATTTAAGTTCTCACTTGGACCTGTACACACTGTGGTGCTCTCACTGCTTTTATAAGTATGAAAGGAAATTAAATTTTGGGACCCCAAACTCATTTAGCCAAAGGGAAAAGTCAAGCTGGGAACTGGGTCACGCAAACCTGCCTCCCCCTTTTGGTTCCTAAATAAGATGGCTACAAGATGAAAGGCTATATGCCTCCCCCATATTTTGCCCATGAGGAAATTCCTGGTGAGCTGTTAAAACTTCACCATAGCAATGCAAATTGATCGCTTATCTTCACAGGTGCAGCCACTTCAGTCCACCAGACACAAATGCATATCTGATTATTCCTGTACTGCATTTTGTCTGTGTTTTCATATGTAAAAGGCAGATTCCCCACATTGTTCCTCTGCCCGCTTTTGCTTATGTGAAAACTGTGTGCTTCCCACCCTTTCCGCTTTAAATTTGGAGCCCTCAAATCATCTTTGGAGAAGGGCATAGACCTGTCTCCCAGGGTGTGTCCTTAACTTTGGCAAATAAATCTCCTAAAATGATTGAGACTTGTCTCATCATTTTCTTCAATTGACATAAGTGAGTGGATTATACATTCCATACTTATATATCACAGGCTGTTAAGAGTCAGAATATGCACCCCAGACAGAGGTGTTTCTTACTTACTTTACTTTCTTCAAAAATGTAAAACATTCCTTTATAGACCCTTTCAGACCTGAAATTTTAGCATAATGAAGAGGAATCTAAGATCTAGACAGATGCATTGACTATTAAGAGTCTATTAAAAGTCAAGTTGGAGACTAGTGGAAGCTTGGCAAAAGCAGTGCTCCTCACATTTTAATATGTATATGAGTCACCTGGAGGACTTGTTAAATGAAGTCAATTAAAAATGCAGACTCTGTTTCAGTCCCTCAGAGAAGAGCCTGAGATTCTGCATTTCTATTGAGTGCCCAGGTGATGCTGTGCTGCTGGTCCCTGGTGCATACTCTTGTAGGACAGTCTTCTGGATGACCTTGGACCAATCCAGCTCTACCCTATTCTTGCAGGTAGTCCTTCAGAATAACTCTAGAATGTTCTGGGAATTAAACATGCTGAGATAGGGAAGGGCTGACTAGAAAAACTCTGACTTGTTTCCAGCCCCGCTTAGAAGCAGGATGTCCTTCAACATTTTAACCCAGCATGTCTTATTGCTCCCAGGGTATAAAACCCAAAGAGTTGAGCTGCTTTTCAGAGTCCCTGAGCTGTGGTGCAGTTGGGACATGCACAGACCAGATTTTATCTGCCTCAGGCAGCTTTCCTCAACCTAGCTCATCTTAAATCCCAGTCTTCTGTCATATACTGCTGCCTATCTGTAAGTAATAATTCCACTTCATATAACTTGTCCGTGTGTGTGTATGTGTGTGTATGGGGGGTATTCTGTCTCACCAGACTCAGACAGCTTGGTAACCAATGTACAGTGAACCTGCTTCACAGCTCGGATTAACAAAATATTATAAAGAAGAACATGATTTTCTGAGCTTCCTTTGGGCACCATACATTTTGAAAAATCTCAGCACCAAATGTTAAAATACTTTCCCTCTTGTTTCCCTCTTGTCCCAAAACCATCACTATATACTGGAATAGGAGTGAGCTGTTCACTTAAAGCCTGTTATCAATAGGTTTGTCAATGGCCTATTAGGTGGCCTGGTATAAAAGTACAGCCCAAGAAGATGTCTGTATCAAATGGGGACTGCCTCACCCAATGATATTCACTTCAGGTTTTGTGGAGATTTTGTGTCTGTGCGTGCTTCAGTGGGGAAAGACAGGAAGAGAGCGAGAGAGAATCAGCAGAGCAGAGGAGAGAGAATACATAACAAACAGTGTCTTCATTCTTAGAGGATATAAAGGCTACTTTCTACAGTTACTGCTGCATCACTGGAGTCTCTGACAGACACTAGAACTGGAGTGAGTCCTATTGTGTACTCAGTTCTTTCTGAGACCTGATATGCAATTCTTGAGACATCTTATGTTACTTGCTTATGGATCCTCACAAATAAACAAATTATTTACATATGAAATAACTGAGTATCTGAGAATTCTCAACATTCTCCCAGAAAAGCCCTAAGCTCCTCTACTGTTCAGACTCTTCAAATGTCTACTTCTGTACTTTGAAGAATTATAGTGAAAACTTTCCTCAAACTCTGTCACTGGGAGTATATAGAGAGCTAGGTGCTTTTCCAGTAATGCTTATGCACAAACAAGATTTATAATCCAGAGAATTTCACCAACTTTAAGACATTCTCGGTAGAAAAAGCAAATGGGGAAGAAGTAAAGATAGATTCTTTCATTATTATCAATGGTAACCATAATACTCAAGCTAACCAGTGGTTAGCAAACACAAAGCAGGGGGAAGAATCCCATCCTTATGTTAAGATTGTAGCTAGAGTCTTATTTAAAGACAATTTCAATTTAATGTTCAAGGAGATATCTATGAAAATTCAATTGGATTTCAAATTTCAGGAATTCATAAGGTCAGGGAAAATCTTAACAAGTGTGGTAAAGGTAAAAATATCTCAGATCCTTACCTTAAATATTGAAAAAACATGTGACATGCTGACAACATGTATGAAACTGCCCTTTCTCCACTCCCAGGACACCTTATCTCTGAAAAAAAAAATTATTTTAGCAGTGTGAAATAGACTGGGATGTTTGAAATGGAGTTTTACCAACAGAGTTTATATTTTACATCTCACAGACTGAGGGATTTCAAGGTAAGTTTATGGTATTAGGGAAGGAAAAGACATCTTGTAAAATCCACAAGGGTCATGATGGTAAGAGAAGTTGTCTGACTGAGATGAGTTTTCTAAAATCTTGATTCCCCAAACTGGTGCTCATCTGACTGTAATGAGATTTTTTTTTAAAAAAACAAAACACCTCAATATTATAAAGCATTAAATTCATACAAAGAAATAGACATTAAGATGTATATATACATCTTACATTAGGTGCATCAATGAGTACACAGGCTGGGAACAAGATTGCCCAGCTAAGTATAACTAGGGAAAATGAACTTGCCTGCTATCTTAATGACTGTCTTTTAGGAAGGGTTACTTCTTAGACCCATGTGTAACTCACAAATAGATAGGGGAAACCTATTAGAGAAAAAATATGAGGTTGCCACAGAAACGTTAAGTAAGCCCTACCTCTGGTAGGTGAGCAGTTCCAGGGTTTCCATTTTTTTCTGACAGTATATGAAAGAAAATGCTTAAAAATTTTGAAATTCTAGAATGAAGACAGCATCACGTAACTTTGTTCTCATTGCTTCAAAGTTTTGGGAGGAAACCATGGCTCTTTCATGTTCCCCATTGGCCCCTCCCCAACAATAATTTTACCACATATGCTACTGGTTTGCAGTGGTTTGATTTGTTGTTTTCTTAGAGGGAAAATGAAAATTTATCATTTCTGGAACTTCATACTTCCATTCTTTTAGGAGACTTTGTGAACTTCAAAGCCCTTTAGTTTTATTCTATTTAATCTTCATAAAAATAATTTCAGGGTTATATTTAATAATTATATATTTGTTTTGATTAAAAAGATAATAGGAAATAACTCACATATATTTATTTATAAAACCTTTCTAAAAACCACGTGCTGTTACAAAAGCACCACATTCCTAGCACCTCACTCATTACATTTCCCTGTGCTATGCTCTTGCTAGTCTATACATAAGCAAAGGTGAAAAGCCTGTTTATGCTAAGTAAATACAAACTTGCATTTATGTATTTTTCTGCTATAAATGAAATTTGGAAGAGACCTAAACAACATGAGTCACTGTGGTCTTCTTCAAAAAAACATTTTCAAAAATAAAATAGGCGTGTTCTCATTTTCTTACTATATTAATATTATTTTAAAGGAAATAATTAAAATTATACTTTCTGGTGATTGACACCATAATAATCACTTGGTTTTGATGAACTTTCCTTTTAAGACAACTCTAAATTTTGGAATTGAATTTTTAAATTTGTTAACAAGAAATTCTCACCAGTCAATTTTTATTTTTTTGAGACAGGGTCTTGCTGTGTCACTCAGGCTGGCTCACTGCAGCATCAGCCTCCTGGGATCAAGCCATCCTCTTGCCTCAACCTCCCATGCCTCCCATGTAGCTGAGACCACAGGTGCATGCCATGGCACATCACTATTTTTTTTTTTATTTTACTTTTTGTGAAGATGGGTGGGGGGTGGTCTCACTTTGTTGCTCAGGTGGGTCTCAAACTCTTGTACTGTTTTTTTTTTAATTTTACTTTTTGTGAAGATGGGGAGGGTGGTCTCACTTTGTTGCTCAGGTGGGTCTCAAACTCTTGGGTTCTAGCAATCCTCTCGCCTCAGCTTCCCAAAGTGCTAGGATTATAGGCGTGAGCCACCACACAACCAGCCTTGCAAACAGTATTGATTTAAACTTTCTACATTATCAAGACAATTTTAAGGGGTTAACAAATGATAAGAAGGGATATAAATTTTGTTTATAATAATATTGGTATTATTGGGACTAGTGCTACACTCTTAAACATAAAACAGAGAGATTTGTTTTGATCAGATGAAATAGTTAATGAGACTTTCTTGTTAATATCAATTTATATTTCAATAAGTGAAAAAATCATCTGAAATATATTCTTCATGGATATCTGTATATTTTGAACACTTAAGGTGTATGTTTAGTAATACTATTTTATGTACATTATGTTTTTTAATGTCCAATGCTGGAATTTTTTAAAAAAATTTTAGTAATCATCACATTCTTTTCCAAGTAACAGGGTTCTTGAAAGTACTTGGCTTGGCCAGGCGTGGTAGCTCAAGCCTGTAATCCCAGCACTTTGGGAGGCCAAGGTGGGTGGATCACGAGGTCAGGAGTTCAAGACCAGCCTGGCCAAGATGGTAAAACCCTGTCTCTACTAAAAATACAAAAATTAGCCGGGCACGGTGGTAGGTTCCTGTAGTCCCAGCTACTCGGGAGGCTGAGGCAGGAGAATCGCTTGAACGTGGGAGGCGGAGGTTGCAGTGAGCCGAGATCGTGCCACTGCACTCTAGCCTGAGTGACAGAGCGAGACTCCATCTCAAAAAAAAAAAAAAAAAAAGGAACGTACTTGGCTTATGTGTTGCTTATAAAGGAATACATGTATAAATACTTAATGAATGGATATACAGCACCTGTTGGGTCATGGCATATCAAAGGATCATCAAAACTCTGAAAGAAACAAATATAAGAAAGGTTAATTTTAGTCTATTTTCTGTTAACCCTTTGTGTTATTGCAAAAAAAATGATGTTTTTTTCTCATTCAAGTGAGATGGATTACAATAGACTCAACATTAAACTAGCAAAAATAAATATATGTGATAACAACTATGCTATCACATTGAGACTGCATTTACTCATTTTTTATTTCAGGAAGAGAACTTCAAGACTTTGATTCCAAGTTTCTCCTTTTACCTAAGCTGCAGAATGGTAATTGGCTTTCCCATGTTACAGAGTTAGTTTCCATAAAATTTAGACGAAATCTCTGCTGACTTCTAGTTCCAAGCATTTTATAAATATTACACTAATTAACTCTGCAGCTCAACTTCTTTTCAGTTTTTCTGTTTAAACTATACTAAGTTCTTACCACTTAGCTTATTACAATATGTCTGTAAGATGATTTAACCAGATTGGTTTTCGAAAATAAGCTACATTTGAACCTTCAAATATATACATATATATTTTTGTTTTATGTTCATTTAGATAAAATTAAGTACAGTAACAGAGAAAGCAATTTTTTTCTAATTTAAATTTGAAGTCCTAAAATTTACCCTTTCAAATAAAATGTTTCTTTTTTACAGTTCAAATTATAATATAAAATACTTCTTTATAGACTTAAATTTGGTGGCATTTCAGAGGCTTGGCTGAACCCTATAGCTTGAACTTGTTAATGAAATAAAAATTTAATATCCTTATAATAGATGAAGGAAAATTATTAATCTTCATCTTAGCCAAATAATATGTTAATGAAAAACATAGTTATCATTTAAGGTCTCATAATTTGCCATAATGGTCATTGGAAATCACTTATTTTCCTATGAACTGTTAATTCCAATTACATTAACTTTTCAGAGTGAGATAAAGAGGCATGCAAATGTGTACAGTTAAATTACAGATTATAGAGCTATACTTCCCCTTTAAAGCAAGTACCTCAGTCTTTCTGGATCACTGTCCTACTTTTCAACACTTTTGAACACCCATTTACACTATTATTTAACTTAAAGGGCCAGAGCATTATTTTGAGTTGAGTGATCATGGCACACACCATAACAGATGATGCATGCACTATTACACTCCTTCATACACTGAGAGGTTATGCTGGAGTAGAAGGAGATAGTGCATTCTTCCCACGCTACTACAAGCACCTCAAAGGCGGATAATCAGGCCTTAGGGTATGCCAAGTCCTTAAATCATTTTAGAAAGAATCCTTATCTACTGATCTACTGCTAGCATCTAACATGACCCACAAATATTTACAACAATTTACCAAGGTAATAATGGAGCATCAACTTGGCAACTGTCGATTATGAATACATCACTGGGTTACACAAGGTCCATCCTGTCATTTCTGAGGCAAGTCATTGAAGCTCTTTGAGCCTCACCCAGCATTCTCCTCTGTGAAACAGATAATAGAAACTACTGCAAAAAAGTAGAATCTATTCAGAAAATATAGTAGGAAGAGATACTCTTGTAGGGCTCAAAAGGCAAAGGATATAATGTTTGGGCCTAAAAAGGAAAATAAGTAGGCAGAGGAACTAGTCAACGTGGCTAATGACAAAAAGAAAAAAAAGAATTAATATTTGCAAATCCCCTAATGATTGGGGGAAAGTTGTGATGACTAAAGTAGAGGCTAGACAGAAAATATCTACTACACAGCCTGCAGCATTTCATGTCCATTTCTAATAATTAGAGACAAGATCAGCTCCAGCAGAGAGGGAAAAGAAAAAGGTAGATACATGCATATTGATTTGAAAAGCATAAAAAAGGTACTAAAATGCATAGTAATTATTAATAAGTGTTTTTATTTTTATTTTTTTCCTCTGTGGTCTGAAGTGGATAACAGGGAAGAGAGCAAGGACTTTCTAATAGTTAAATTTGGGGACAGACTGGGGACACTTTTCTAATTTTCTCCAGGCCCCAACCCATATTGTAGAATAATGAATACACCGAAGATTGTTATGCTATTCTGGAAAAAGGAATACATACCTGTGGTTGGCAATCTTTCCAACTATGTCTACATGGGAAGGTTAACATTCATATTCAAAGCAACCAAATATATCTCAAAATTTAAAAAAAGTTAATCTCAATGACCAAATAAAGAGTCTATGAAGAGATTCATGCATGTGAAGTTATCTATTATATCATTAAAAGTGACATTTCAAATCCATGGGGCAAAGTAATAAAAATGACTTAAAAGCAATTGACTTTTCATTTGGAAAAAAATTAAAACTGAATGCCTACTTCACGTGATATAAAAATATATATTCCAGAAGGGATTAGAGGGTAACATGAAAAATACATAAATTATAGTCCACTATAAGGTAATATTGTTTTAATTTTTGTAAAATGTTTTTCTAAGCGGGACACAAATCCCTAAAACCATAAGGAAAAGGCTGAGTAATTTGTGCTCATAAAATTGAAAAAAAACAGTTCATAAAACAAGAGACTATATGTAGTTGAAAATGATTTAGCAATCGCTTTACAGGGTATTTATCCAAAGGATAGGGAATAGTTATATCAAAGGGACACCTGCACTCGCATGTTTACTGTAGCTCCATTCACAATAGCAAAGATATGGTGTCAAACTAAGTGTCCCACAGCAGATAAGTGAATAAAGAAACTGTGGTATATAGACACAGTGGAATAGTGTCCAGCCATAAAAACGATGAAATTCCTGTTGTTTTTAGCTACATGGAGGAAACTGGAAATCATTATGTTAAATGAGTGAAACAAGCCAGACACAGAAAGACAAGTATTGCTTGGTTGCCATATGCCCTATGTGGGAATTAAAAGTTGATCTCATAGAGGGAGAGAGGAGAATGACAGAGGTTGGGAAGAGTGTTTATGTGGGGTGGGAGATGAAGAGAGCTTGGTGCATGGGTACAAACATACAGTTAAATTGAAGAAATAAGTACCAATGTTTGATAGCAGAGTAGGGTGACTATAGTTAATAATAACGTATTGTACATTTCAAAATAGTTAGAAGAGAGGATTTGAAATGTCACTACCACATAGAAATGATAAATACTTAAGAGGATGGATACCCTATATAGCTTGACTTTGATCACTACACATTCTATACATGTAACAAAATATGACATGTACCTCATAAAAATGTGTAAATATTATATCAAGAATATCTTGACTGGCTGAAAATATTGACAAATGACATTACTAACAAATGATTGGTACTTTTCAGTGTTCCACTTTTATGAAACTACTATAAATGTTTATAAGAACTACTTTTATAGTACTACTTTCATAGTTCTTAACTACTTTTATAGTTCTTGTAAACATTAAGTGTTAATAGAGAATGTATTAAAAATATACTAACATATATTGAGCATTTTATATCTCAGTATGTTAGAGGCATTTTATATGTTATAAAATACATTATAAATGTTATACATTATGTATAAAGTATATATGTTATAAAGATGCCTTATACACTAACTATATGTATATAGTAGTATTATCTAATATTTGCTAAATATTTACTAGATTGCAGGCTCTATGCTAAGGGCCTGTTACTTATTTAATACTCATAGTAACCCTGTGATGTTGGTACTTATTGTTTCTTTTTTATAGGTTAAGAATATTTAATCTCAAAATAGTGAAATACCTCAGTCAAGGGTTCACACTACTTAGATAGCAGAAAAGTCTGACCCCAGAGCCTGTGCTTAGAAGCATATTATGTGAAGTTGTAAGTTCTTATATTGTTATTTATAATAGTGAACATTTTGGAAATAAGTGTCAACAAAATTATGATACATTCATAATGTTGAAGAATATGCAGTGGTTAAATATATTTATATATATATATATATATGTCTACTAACATGGGACACCACTTCAGAATATATTAAGTGCGAGGAAGAGTTACAGAAAACAATGATCCATTTAAGTTTTAAAAATCCTATTATGTATGAAGAAAAAGGTAGATACATGCATATTGACTTGTAAAGCATAAAAAAGGTATGAAAAATGCATAGTAATTGTTAATAATTGTGTTTTTTTTTTTCCTCTATGGTCTTAAGTGGATAACAGGGAGGAGATCAAGGACTTTCTAATAGTATTTTCTTTGTTTGGTAATGTTTGAGTTTCTTACAAAGATAATATTGTCTTATATTACCATTTTTAAAAATTTAAAACCACATTTTCTTTGGGAAATATGAACAGATTGTTTTGACTATGATTTCGTAGGAATTGTTGGTCTCTATGTAGTGCATGCAGAATGTTTGATATATGTAACGTCATTCCTAAAGGAAAGTGTCAAAATACTCTGTGAAATAGAACACAGTATACAATGTTAGTTTTGATTAGGGTATATATATGAGTACACATGACATAAGTATTATATTTGATTAGGGTATGTATGTACACAGACATAAGTATTATATATAATACTTATTATATATTATACTTACATATATTATATATAATATATATAATACATATATAATATATAACTTATATATAATATATATAATACTTATATCTAATAAGTGTTATATATAATACTTATATCTAATAAGTGTTATATATAATACTTATATATAATACTTATATATAAAAGTGTTATATGTAACACTTATATAATAATTATATATAAGTATTATATATAAGTGTTGTATATAATAATTATATATAAGTATTATATATAAGTGTTGTATATAATAATTATATATAAGTATTATATATAATACTTATATATAATTATATATAATACTTATATATTATATTTTTATAATTATATGATTAAGTATATTTTAATATTATTAATTATATATAATACTTATGTCTGTATATATAATAATATTTGTTATGTGTATAAATATGTATTATATATTTTATATATAATACTTAAGATTGATTGTGTTAGAATTGATGTGATTATTTGAACATTTGTATGACCAATTAACCTAATGACAAATAATTCCCCATATCTAAAATATTACAAATTATCTCCAAAAACATATATATTATTTTATGCATCAGTATGTTAAGATCAATGTGTTAAATAATGTCTCATCAAAATGTAATTTTATAGTCTACATTATGTTTAACTTTGATGGCTCTAAAATGGGTTAAATCTGTCAAACAGAGCAACTCCTAATTCCTTTCCCTCATACACATAATTCCCTATCCTAATCCTCCTCCAAAGAAGAAGTCTCCCTGAGTTTTGTATCTACAAGTCCACTCTCTGACCCTCAGGTCGGAACGTGAGGCTCATATTTCTTTCCCTGTAATTCTTTCATGCACAAGTTTTATGGCCTCCACCTTGAGATACCATTACCAGTGAAGCTGAGTTATTATATACCAAACTGAAATGAGCCAGGAAATGTTTCTCACAATATTTCACAATTCCTAATGCAGGTATAGGCCCTGATAGAATCCCCAAAATTGCTATCAAAGTTCAAATTGAATGTGAACCATAGAATGCTTCAATTCACATAAGAAAGATCTATCATTGCTCTGCATTTGGCATAGGGTTAATCTAAAACTGAGGTCTTAATTGGTTGACTTGCAGTTTAGATATCCATAAATAATGCAGATATGAATTTATCTGTAATCAGCCTTTTCTGTCTTTCAGCACCACAGGGTAGACCTTCTTTTCTTGTTCAATTGAAACAAATGTGAAAAGGCATATAGATAGTTTTTTTTTTTTTTTACCATGTTCTATTCTTGTTTTTTTTGTCTTAACATTTTACTGGAGTGAAGTAGCACATACACAGAAAAGTGCACATATCATAGTATAGAGCACAATGATTTTCACACACTAAGCACTCTGGTAACCAACACTCAGATGAATAAATCGGCAATTATCACCATCCCTGCTTAGTGTCATTCCTGTTCATGGAGGAATTTCAGAGAAGCTGCCACCAAAGCTTCCATACCTAAGTGAGTGTTTCTAAGGAGGAAGCCTGAAAGCTGTAAGCAAAACTCTACTTCTGTGCTCTGCCAGTTGCCACAGACACACTTATATATGCTTTCATCTGCTGATAGCAAATAATGCTGTGGCATAAGAGAAAATATATATTTGGTCTCTACACCTGTCTCTTGACATAGAGCTCCTAAAACCCCTGTAGTTCCCTGAGTGATAGGGTGCTAAGAGCATCCTTTGTTCAATTTGACCTTTGACCCTGGTTTGTGACATAGAGCTCCTTAACTTCTTGGAATTTCCCGGGTGATAAAAATATCTTTTGTTCTAATGAGGCAACACTTGGTAGGGTCCTGGACAGCTTCAAGTTGGGGGCTGGTTGCCAGGAAGACCAAGCCATGATTAGAAACTTGAAACTTTCAGCCTCAGAGACGCTGGGAATTGAGTTAGTAATCAATCATGCCTATGTGATGAAGCCTCCATAACAATCCCTCAACTACAGGTTCAGAGAACTTCTGGGCATTGAATATATTGATGTGCTTGGAGAGTGTCACATCACAACTCCTTGGGCACAGAAGCTCCTGTGCTCAGGAACCCTCAGTCCCCATTCTATGTACATACCTCTTCATCTGGCTGTTCATCTGTATTCTTTCTAATATCCTTTACAATACAGTGGTAAATTTAAGTAAATATTTGCTTGAGTTTTGTGAGCTGTTTTAGCAAATTATTTGACATGAGGAGGGTGAGAAGTTCTGATTTATAACTGGTTGGTCAGAAGTATAGGTGACAACCTGGATCTTGTGATTGGCATTTGAAGAGGTAAACAGACTTGTGGGACTGAGCCCTTAATCTCTTGGATCTGCACTAACTCCAAGTAGTTGCAGAATTAAACTGTAGGACATCAAGTTGGTATCTGTACAGTTGGTGAGTCAGTTGGTGCGGGAAAACTTGATAAACATTTGGTGTCAGAAATGTTCTGTGGGTAAAAATAGGTTTCCTTTAAATGGCTTCTCCTTCTCCCCAGTCTATCCAATTTTACCTGAGTGCCTTCCACTGAAGAATTAAAATAGAAAGCTATTAGAAAGGGTATATGGTAAATAATATTTTAAGGCTTTATACTACCACAATCAAACAACAGGTCTAGAAGAGTAGGCAAGATACTGATTATCAACAAACACAACTGGCACACTTTCTGAGTCTTCTGAAACCTAGAGAAATCATCTTTCATGGTGCGAACATGATTTACTGTTGATATGTCACTAATAGGGAGTAAAAAATTTGAAAAAAAATTAATATGTTGGGGTGTTTGATATTAACTATAGGAAGTCAAAAAGACTCACAATTTCCCCTTTGCATTTTAAATTTTTTAAAAAATTATACTTATTTTTAAAATTATGGATCAATATTTACAAATGTGGAAAGACTGATAAGAGAAAATTCCAATGTCGCATCTTCCAATTTCAGTCTTACATCTGTACACCCCACCTTCTTCCACCTCTTCCTTAAGGATAATCGATACAAATGTAAAATATATGTACTTTAATCAATAGATATTTATTAGGGATATCTAAAATGTAAGACTTTTTAAACATAACCACAATATTGCTGTTTATTATGCCTAAAACATGTGTAAAGTTAATTGTTTAATAACACCAAATATTTTGGCAGTGTTTAAGTATCTCTATTTGATAATTTTTAAAAGAATCAAGATCTTGATAAAATCTATACATTGCATTTGGATGATAAATTGCAAGAGTCTCCTTTACATAGTCTCTCTCTCTCTCTCTCTCTCCCTCCCCCACACACACACCCCTCTCTCTCTCTCTCTCTAGAAGTTTATTTATTGACTATTCAGGTGGTTATGCACAGTATGGATTTGGTTGATTTCATCCCTGTGGTATTATTTAACATGTTTCTCTGTGCCATGTTACTGTTAAGAGCCTTGTCCAGATTCTGAAATGTGGTGCTGTGTACTAACACCAGGAGGCACATAATGTCTAGCTTTTTCTCCTTTGTGTTTTTAGCTGTTATTAGGTCATTATTTTTCTTGAAGTTGCAAAATGCTGACATTCTGACTCTACTATTCTTCGTTTAGAATCTGGAGGAGAATTTTCACAACTTAATTAATTGGTTATCCTTAAGTACAGTTCACAATGGAAAAGGTGGATAGACTCTTGATTTTTTTTCTTTATGTATCAGTCCTCAAATAGTTTTCTGGGACCTCAGATGTGGGCAATGTGTACTCAGTTCTAACACAATATTTAAGAGTTCTGTAACACTGAAAAAATTATGTTTCCTCTCTGTTGATATATAAATCTGGTGGAGATGTTTGAATAATTAGAAATAATTCACACAAGAAAATGCCTAGCTGACACTTTTGCATACAGTAAAAACTCAATCCATTATTATAATCATTACTGTTTGTTTAAATACTCTATATGCAATGTTTACACATATGGCTTGAGGAAATAGGAGAAATATTGAACTATGTATTATATAAATATATATAACATTATATATAACATATATGATATATAATACATATATATTATCTTATGTATGTTATATATAATATATATGCACAGAGAAAAAGAGCACAGTAGAGTTACCAAAAGAAAAAATGTTTATTTGGGGAATGTGCTCTAAAACACTGGATTATTTTTATATTACATGTAAACAATAGCCATACTTCAAGCCCCTCTGCCATTTTTACTTGCCGTCTTCTCAGTGAAGAGATTTCAAAAATGCCAGTTTTTCAGACAGGAGAGGAGATAAAGGGTTTGAGATAGCAGAACAATAGAGCTAAGAAATATAAACTTGGTCTAAGTCTTTTGACAAAATCTAGCATCAGCCTGAAAATTTATCATTCTTTTCAGTATATGTTTCATGTAAGCTTGTTAGAAAAGAAGAATAAGATTACGTATACAGATGGCTAACTCAGCAGGTGAGAGCTTGATTAATCTCAGGTCAAGACCTCATGTCTCCTACGGGCTCATTATTTTCACACGTTTTCATGTCCACAGTGTACATATTTAACCCAGGTCAGTCATTTCATAAATGCTTATTCAGATTCATTCATAACGGGTAAATTCTTGAAGTTCTAACTCCACAATAAAAGAAAAACTTACAGCACATTCATAATAATATTGGATTTGTAGTTTCAATCACAAATTAAAACCAACAATAATGTTTTTATGCCCATTATCCATTGTCTCTATGTTAATGAATTCCATTGATCCATCAACTTATATTTAGGGTTTCTGATTGTCTATTTTGCTGACAAGTCAATACCTTCAACTCATTGAAACCATGGAAAATTCATAAGATGTGCAATAGAGGTGAGTTGATGTCAGATGGCTATCTGATAATTCTTCCCACGTGTGGGTTACTCTGACTCTGAGTATCAAAAAGAAAAAGTCCATCTCTTCCTAGAGAACTGTGAGATTTTCAGCCTCTCTTGCAGCTAGATTGAGAGCATGTGATCTAGTTTTTCAAGTCAGTTTTTCCCACCTTAGACTTTGAATTGGAATTTAGGGCAAAAACCATAGAACACCAATTTTAGCAATAGTGGCAACATCATCAAGGCCCCAGGAATAGGAGCAGCAATAGTAGAAGCAGTGCAGTGCACAGGGAGAATACAGTATTTGGTGCTGACAGTGACAGAAGTGCAAGCTGGCATATGTGCTGTGCAGCAGCAGCAGCAGCCAGACAGTTCTCACAGAGCTGATATTTGATGTGGCAGCCAGTCTGCTGCTAACTGCAACCTGGCTTTTCCTCTTCTTGGCCATTTTTCCAACCTGATTCTTCAATCTTCCTGACTCTTTTGTGTACTGCTTGCTGCCCTCTACATAAATATTCTGTTTAAATTAACAAGTTTGCTCCTGTTACACAAAACAAAGAATCTAACTGGCACAAGAAGTGATCACAGAAGCTCAAGAAAATGCAGACAATCTGAGATGGATTTTCTGGACAGAGTTGATGTGAAAAACACAACTAACATTTGGGGAAATAATTCTGTTAATCCCTAGCATGCAATGGCTAAACGAATGTATTCCATGCTACGTGAACTCTAATCATCTGAATAGATGTTATAATACCTTTCAATGAAATTAGCCAATTCTTACTATCCAAATTGAAAACCTGGTATAACAAACCTACAAGCAAGTTTCAGTGAAAACATTTAAATTGCATGGATATTAATGTGAAAATATGCAGAGTATGTTGTAGTTTTACCTCAGTGATTTCCTCAATAAATTTTTGTCTTGTACTTGCATTTAAAAATATGATGTGTATTTTTTGCTATCATTTATTCCTACATGAGTAAGTTTAAAAAGTCTAACGAAGTAGAAATGCTGTGAAGAAAATAGGTGAGCCTAAGAGGCACCAAAATTATATATTAGAAAAAACATTTGAGGTAATAAAGCATTTTAACAGAGGTGACTACTTAAAATACATGATCATGGCCATACACATATTCCCAATAACTGTTTAAGTGAGTTGTTTCTCAGCATGGGAAAATAAATAACAATTATGAAAGACAGCTATTGCTAGTTTTACCAGTGGAGGGTCTTGACTACGAGTCGTCCAGGTTCTTGGCATTTTGAACAAAGAATTGGAAAAAGTACACAAACAAAGCAGTGAAAGAATGAAGCAACAAAAGCACAGATGTAATGAAATGAAAGTACACTCCACAGAGTGGGAGTAGGTTAGAGCAAGCGGCTCAAGAACTCTGGTTACAGAAATTTCTGGGGTTTAAATACCCTCTAGAGGTTTCCCATTGGTTAATTGGTTACACCCTATATAAATGAAGCAGTGGGCCATGACCAGTCTGATTGGTTGTGGGAGGGGGCCAATCAGAGGCTGAAGTAAAGTTACAAAATTATACATGAAGACTGGTTGGGGGAGGGGACCAATCAGAGATACTTTCCATTTTTTATTTGGGCAAGGGAGTAGCGTCTGATCCTTTTGTTACTTGGATGTGGAGAGGTGGGGTTTTCCTTCTGATTCAGTTCTAGGAGGTCAGCTCAGTGTTAGGTTCCCTGACTCCAGACCCTATTGTCCTGCCTCACTGGTTCTGGAAAATTTCAATATGTTACCTATATATGGCATATTAATTTTGAAAAAAAAATCAGAGAATTAACATGCCCAGTGCATGTGAACCACAATCAGTGTTGGCTGACCCTGAACATCATATTGGTACAGCAGAAAGTGCCAAACATATTTAAAGACCTGAATAAGGCCACGATAAAGGAGTATGGTGACTTAGCGAAGGAGCTGAGAAGTAGACTGAGTTAGGGTAGATTAAGGTATTTAAGAATCATGCAATGCTGCATGATTTGAAGATTATGGGTCAAGGAGTTTCTGCTGATAATGAGGCTGCAGTAGTCTATGAATTGCAAAATTCTGCTGTTTCTGACTTCACGCCACTGGGGAAATGATTGACAAAAAGTAAGAACATCATAAATCTTGGTAAGAAGCTTGAATTTAGTGAGATGTCTAGAAATATGCTGATGAAATGTTGTCAACACATAGTGAATTGCTTACTATGAAGAAAGACATTCTACTTGATGCTTATCATTGGCCTAAGAAAGAAAAAGAAAGCCATAGCTGTATGTCATGTCTTTAAAAGAAACTACATTATTCAGAGCAATACGTACTGCTGAAATTGATCATAACATGAGCACTTGAAAATATCCACTTTTCAAAAAGCAATTGTAAATGTAGGTAGCTTTTGTAATTGATCTTAAGCATAAATAATGCAAGCTGATAATCATTTTTAGTTTATTCATGTTTTTTTTTTCTTCAGAAAACCCACTTCTGTTATTTTAAGTGCCAAATGAGAATAATGTCCACCGTGCATTTTGATTTGACCTTGTACACTCTTTGGACAGTTTTAACCTCTCTTTTATCAATGCACTCCCAAGACTTCAGTGAACAGCAGGAAAAACCTACTTCCATCTACCTTCCCCCATCCCAAAGTTTATCAAGTTTTTCAAAGATTATAGATTGGTATGACACATTAAGCAGCCTGGGGCTTTTGTGAGTTTAATTTAGTTAGTTAACTGAAACTAGATTCAACAGCACCTTGGACTACAGGATATGGAGATGACAAAAATTTCTTCATTTAAAGCATAGAAAGTAATCCATAGACTTGGGTATTAGGCACATGGAGCACAATTTCTATGTCTGAAAAAAGATTTTAGTTACTTAACCTCTTTAGTAGGTAAACAACCCCAAATAGAGGAGAAACGAAGTTCTGTATTTTCATTCCTCTTTCATTTTCTTTCAGTTTCATTTCTTCTACTGTTTTCTATAGCACATGCTTGGTAATAATTCTATGGTTAAAAAATATAAAGACATGATTTTGGCAATCATTTTGCAGTGTATATGTTTATCAAAACATTATGTTGTATACTTTCAATATATAGAATTTTTATTTGTTAATGGTATTTCAATTAAGCAGGGAAAATATTTTACACAAAAATAAAAGAAACAAGTAACTGAAGTGTGTGTGTGTGTGTGTGTGTGTGTGTGTGTGTGTGTGTATCTATGAAGATGTATTGAGGTCAGAAGAAGTAATAAACATTTCTCTAGAGATCCTGGTGTTCTAGCTAAATGTAGTAACTGATGAAATTTTGAGTTGCTCTTCTTTGCAGAAGGTGAGAATGCATTTTGGTTTCATAAAGCATAGTGTATTACATTAGGACAGGGTTGCTTTATTTCATTTTCATTTTTGAAGTGGAACTATGTGAAAAGGTTTTGTATACTAGAGAGCCAAAAATAACAAATGCTTGGCAGACAAATAGGTATATGGTGGTGGTCACTTATCATGTCCTCTATGACAAGCATCCAGTTCCCATTTTATGGATGGACAATTTCTTACTTGGAGCGTCAGTGGAGATACAGACTGCTTTCTACCATGCAAGCTGAAAATGCCAGATACCAGTTTTCTCAGGGCATGACATGAAATACTGGTTTTCTTAAACTGATTCACCAACTCTGGGCTTGAAATTGGGAGACAAGAGCAAAGAACCCATTCTGCCAGTGTGCAGCATTAGTTGCAGGGACAAATCCCAGAGGCGGCATAGCACAGTGTCCAGTGTTCAGTATTGCTAGCGGCAATTTAAACAGGTTGCTTATGTTCTGTGGAAACTGTAGCAGTCTCTTCATTGGACTAATGTTACTGAGTTTGACTGTGGTCCTATCTGATGACTGTCCTACTTTGTTCCTGCCCAATTTTCCAGGCATGATTCCCTAGCCTTCCTGAAATTTCCTGAGTTATTCAATACACTTTGATAAATATATATTTTCTTTGATAAATATATATTTGATAAATACATGCCTGGGCCAATATCTATAGCTAATAAATAGGAATAATGACAGATTCTGGGTCCTAAAAAGTGGCCTAAAATCTATGAATAGACAATAAATGTGCACTATCAGAGAACTTTCAAAAATAGGAGACTAAATATCTGATCTGTAGTTACATGTGCTAAGCTGGAAGCTAAGATTCTCACCAAGCTAACAAGTCATGGATCCATTAGGAAATATAATCCATACTTAGCTGATATTTTGAAATGAGACTTTATAGTTGACAAAGGTAAGGGAACCAGCAAGACATGATGAGGCCCTAGAAACCAGCAGCGGTAAGAAAAAGCTCCATTGAGTGAAGGGGAGGAAAGAGTTACCAGAGCCATGTGAGCACTGACGTTAGGAAAGAGTGTAATCTGGTAGGAGCTATAGTTACAAAAAGACAAAATTATACCGAAAAATATAGAATAGGCAGGTAGTGGGGCTAGCAGGAAAAAAAAAATCTGACTGTCATTCATTCCCCCAGGCTTCCAATCTTCTGTTGGTGCCTCCAACACCATTGTTGCTGGAATATGTTACCTAAATTGTGCAGTTAACATAAAAGCAAATATGAGATATACAAAGAAACATAAATGTATTTTGATACCCAGGAAAGAATAACTAATTAACAGGCATTGTATTTGACAGGGCCAGGATGTTAGACTTAGCAGAAAAAAAATCAGAGCACCTATGATAAATATTTGCCAAAAAAATGAAAGGAAACCGTGATGAAAGGTTTGGTGGTATTATGTCATCAGATAAAAAAAAGAACTGCCAATAAAGATATAGAAATATAAAAAATTGAAATTCTGAAGTTGTAAAATGAGTAAACAAATTTTACTAGAAAAGCTAAGCAGTAGATTTAAGCTCACAGAAGAAAGCATTAGCAAACTTGAAGGTAGATCAATATCTGCACCCAAATGTGAAAAGCAGAGAAGAAAAATAAAGAAGAAAAATTTTCAAAAAGCTTCAGAGAAATGTGGGACAACATTAAGCACACCAACATATAGCTACTGAGATTATCAGAGAGAGGAGAAAGACAAATGAGCAGAAAAAGTACATGAAGAAATAGTGTCCAAACACTTTCCAAATTATATTAAAATATTAAATTACACATCCAAGAAACTCAGTGGATTCTAAATAGAATAAATGCAAAGAGATCTACACACAGACACATCATAGTAAAACCATCAAAAAACAAATATATTAAGAAAATATTAAAAGTAGCCAGAAAAAAATGTACTTTTCACATTTAAAAAAGCCCAGTGATATTAACCACTCTCTTATCATCAGAAACAGTGGAGTCCAGAGGTCAATTGGATGAAATAGTCAAAGTACTAGGGAAAAAAATCAGCCAAATTTTTAAATCTGGCAATACTGTCTTCAAGAAATGATCAACAAAAACCAAGAGGTATTTTTTCTGACAAATGTGCATTATAAGAAATAGCAGGGGAAATTCTTTACATTGAAATCAACTGATGCCAGACAGTAATTTGAATGTACACATGACAAAAAGAATCTGTAAAGGTAATTATGTAGGGATGTATAAAAGAGAGTATAATTGCATACTTCTTTCTCCTCTCACCTATTTAAAGAGCAATTGCATAACACAATATATATTTAATTGTATTGTTGGGCCTATTACATGTAACAATGTAATATATTTGGTAGTAACAACACAAGTATGGTGAATGAGGTCAGAGGTGTATTACAGTATAAAAAAATTCAGGTCACAATATGAATCCACAGGAAGCAATGAAGATATTAAATAATAGTAAATAAAAATGTAAATACAACAAACCTTATAAATATATGCTTAGTCTCCTTTCTTCTTCCAGCTTTTTAAAAACTTAAAATAATCTAAATTAATAATTGTAACAATAAATTGTTGTGTTTGTAATATATAAAGATATAATAGGTATAACAACAACAGCGAAAAAAAAGTATGAAATAATTATTTAAGCATTGAGGTTACAGTATAATTACTCCTACAGATGTTCAGGCCATATTTCCCAGAAACTGTAAATATGTGACCTTAAATGGCAAGTAAACTTTGATGATGTCATTAAATTAGAGGTATTCAGATGGAAAAGTTATTCTAGCTTATCTGTATGAGTTCACTGTAATCAGAAGGGTTCCTACAGAGTAACGTAGGAGGCTTTGGGTGATTCTAAAAGTATAAGTGATGAAAGAAAAATAAATAGAAAAAATGTATACATTAAAATTAAAAACTTTGCACTGCAAAGTCTACCAATAAGAAAGACAACACGGATATAGAATAGATATTTACAAATCATATGTCTGATAAAGAAGTTGTACCCAGAATACATAAAGAATCCTTACAACTCAGTAACAAAAATATAAATGACCCAATTGTGCATTTATATAACACAATGTGCATATACATTTGCATATATATACATTGCATATATATACATTTGCATATAAAAATGTGCAAATGATCTGAATACATATTTTTCCAAAGATCTATAAATAGCCAGTAAGCACATGAATTGATGCTCCATATCATTAGAGAAATTACCCATTAGAGAAATGCAAATCAAGGCCTCAGTGAGCTACTACTTCAGACCTACCAGGGTAGCTTTAATATAATAGATAATGAAAAGTATTGGCCAGAATGTTCAAAACTTGGGAC
Source organism: Homo sapiens (assembly GCF_000001405.40). Taxonomy (NCBI): domain Eukaryota; kingdom Metazoa; phylum Chordata; class Mammalia; order Primates; family Hominidae; genus Homo; species Homo sapiens. The sequence goes on from NC_000011.10 coordinate 104,802,740, forward strand.
CCTCAAATGTTGTTGGTTCGAATGTAAAGTGATGCAGTCAGTTTGGAAAATATTTTGACATTTCCTCAAAACATTACACATAAAGTTACCATAGTACCCAGCAATTCTACTCCTAGACATACTCATATACCCAAGATAAATGAAAGTGAAATAAACACACATCCACACAAAACTTGTACACAAATATTTAGAACGGCATTACTTACAATAGCCAAACAATGGAACCAAGGCAAATGTTCAGTAACTGATTTATGGATAAGCAAAGTGTGTTATATAAATATAGTGGAGTATCACTTGGTCCTAAAAAGGAATGAAGTGCTGATACATGCTAACACTTGGATGAACCTTGAAAATATTATGCCAGGTGAAAGAAGCCAATTTAAAAAGATGATATTGTGTGATTCCTTTGTATGAAATATCCAGAATAAGCAAATCTATAGAGACAATATATATGAGTAGTTGCCTTGGGCTGGGAAGTTGTAGGAGAAATGGTGAATGATTGCTACTGAATGCAGGACTTCTTTATAATGTTGATTTAAATATCCTAAAATTGATTGTGGTGATGGTTGCACAACTCTGTGAACATACTAAAAGTCATAGAATTGTTCACTTTAAATGGATGGATTTTATGGTATGTGAATTATATCTCAATCAAACTTTTAAAAAATTATATTGCCCCCGCAAATTGTTGACCTGCTATTTTCTTCCATATTCTTAGTAAAATATACTGGAAAACAGAGAAAATAAAAGCAAGAAGGAAAGGTCAACCTGTGGTCAAAATTAGAAGTTTTTAGTAATTGCAATTTGAGAGGAATCATATTTTAAAAATACAATTTGTGTAGTCTCTTCTCAGCCAAGTCAAAAAAAAAAAAAAAAAAAAAAAAAGCAAAAGTGGTAGCTGACCACTCCTTAAACTTCTCTAGATAGGTAGACATAACGTTTTATTTAAAACAAATTATTTGTAATACTGGGCTGAAAAGTAAATTTATGTCAACCTTGAAAATGAGCTACTGCTCTTCCCTGTGTGTACTAATTTTTCTTCATCCATTTTAGTTCTTTCTCAACATTGGTTTCTTCCTTCAACATTCTTCTTTCTTCAATATTGGTTTCTCATCAGGAGAGAGAGATACTCAGAAAACAACAAGCCAGCATGGATTTAGGGAGGAAGTTGTGGTGAGGAATGACATCTTGGGAGCTGCAAAAATCGTAGTTCAGAGGAGAGATGGGGAACTAAAAGGGATTATATTAACAGTGCATAGTAAAGTCTGTTATTTCTCCCGAACTGCACCTGTTTAGGGTGAGAGCAGGCCAGAAAGTGAGATTTGAGAAATGTGCAATCTCAGACCTGAATAACTGCATGAATTAAAGTTGGCTAGATATGAAAATTAAACTAAAAGTTTTGCAAACAAAATTGCCATCCTGCTGTAGATATGAAAACAGAATTCAGACAGCATCCATATTGCTGGAGAGTGAAGTCAAAAGCCATGCTACAGTAAAATGGACTAATTGAATTTCGTATTAAAAAGAAAACTCTAGAGTCTTCATAGTTCTCATGGTTAAAGGTTACATTCTCTGGAGATTATATACATATACATGTATATATATGTATAATTAAAAAGCCAAGTATCTCAGAAAAACTGTTTCTTTTAATAACATTTAAATAAAATAATAATTGTTAACAAGAAACAGAGGAAGTAAAAGTTTAAACTTTGCTTCTAAGTGGTTTATTTCTACTCCTCCTCTTTTTAAACAGCATGCAGCAGTAAGTAATTTATGAACCACATTAGTTAATACAAAGGATATTGGTAACATATTTTTAAATTTTTTAAATTCACATATTTTAATTGAAAATTGTCAATAAAATTAGTAACATTCTAACTGAAAGTAATTTTAGTGTTGTTGTGGTTCAAATAAATGTTCACAGAAATTGAACTGAGAGGAAATTATTTGTGTATTATTTGTTCAAGGAAAAGATGGTTTGAATCCCAATACAGTATTCCATCCATGTTTAGTGTCTCTTGATCAAACATTCAATTCAACACACATTTATTGGCACTACTATGGCCAAGAGTTGCTGAATGTTGAAAAACGTTTTAAATGTACTAGGAGATATGACTTATTTTAATAATACTATGCTTTGTTTTTCAAAAAAATTAATAGTAACATTTATGGTTTCTTCCTTATAAATTAACATTCTCATTTGAGTTTTCTCACAATATGGCACACAATTTAGTTCATATTTATACTCTGGATGTTGACTTTAAGCACAACAAACAAATAAACCCATATACATCAAATGTCACTCATATGTTTGGTAATTACTTACTGGAGACCTGTTCTATTTTCCAGTGTAATCAATCACACAGACAGTAGGAAAACAGACAGTCATTTCTTAGGACTTATGCAGACCTACAAGAGCATCACCTTGGCTTAGTTAGATGAAGATCTTCTGTTGTATGGAAAGCCTAGCCTGATGTTTGTATGTTCCTGGAAAATAAAAGGGCTCACATAAGTATGTTACTGGCAGACATCTCTAGAAGCAATCCAGCCCTAGGCTTAGAGTCCATTCCAAAAATCAGATAACCTATGAGTGTGGTCTGGCAATTCTTTTGATCTCTTTACCTGATCCTTCAGTGTGCAGGGTGTACTCACATATATTTTATTGGCCTTCAAGGCCAGCTCACTCTGCATCACCAGAAAATGGCTTACCTTTACTTGGGCTACAGCCCTTGAACTATAGCTAATAGAGATAATGATTACTATATTCTCGGCATTGTTTCAACCTTTCTAAAAGTTATTAGCTTCGTTAATTGTCACAACAACACTGTGAGGTGGATATTGTTACTATTACCTTTTATTTTACAGATTCTTTTTTAAGTGGAGCATAGGGAGGTTGAGTAACTTCTTGCATTTAAACCCAGGTCACCTGGGCAGCAGCCTTCATGTCCTAAATCACCATGTTTCAACCATCCAGCAATCTTTCCGCAAAGTGACAGTGGAAGTACTCTAAGGTGCTAAGGTGCAGTGAACCAGACTGAAATTCAACAAGTACCCTCAGGAGTTTGGCCTGGCACATAAGAAAGAAATTGTAAGAGGATGTGCATTTTAGCCAGTTCTCTTGACTTCTTGTAATTACAGAAAGAAAAGGCAATACTGTTTGATTTTTGTTTCTTGGTTTCTTTGTTTTTCTTATAAGATGAGAAAACAAGGGAGACATCAGATCTCATACCTTATTTTAACAAGCTTTTATATTATCATTTTCAATTTATAATTACTCCAAAATTCAGGGAACATAAACATTTAGGAGTCATTTTTTAAACGATTCTTATAATATAGCTTTTTCTTTATTTTTATTCTTCTCTTAATTTTCTCCACAACTTATTTTTTTTATACTGGTCCTCACTGCCTTTATTCAAACTGAAGACTTTCCAGCACTTTAAAGTATTATTTGTATAAGGTAGTTAAAACATTTTATAAAATTGCATCTTGAGTTATATATTTTAAAAGAGTCATATACTCAATGAAAGAATCTTTAGAGCTCAGATTTGTAGCCAAGACAGTTTTTGTGTGAGAAAAATGCATAAACTTATTTAGCATGCAAGTCTAATGCTGTGAATTACTCTGATCCATCCTTTTGGATACCTAAAATGAATAATGCCGAAGTTGCAATACAAATAAAACAACCCTGAGAAAATTTGGGTAGAATATGCTTAAGGCATCAGATTTAAATTTCCTAAAACTAATATATTCTAATAAGGTATAACTAGAGTATGTGAGAAAGGATTTTGGTATTGAATTTGAGTCTAATTTGGCCTTGTATTTGACCTATTTGTCTTATCAGAACTTAATGGCTGCCTTTATTTCAAGAAATGTCCAGTATATGAGAAATTTTGAAATTCATTACATTCTTCTAGCATGCAACTTATTAGCCAAATATCCCAGTAGCCATTATGAGAACAGGAACACAGGAGCCATAGATGTAGTACACCTTTAAGCTGTCATTTAGTGAGTGCCCATCTCAAATGGCATTCTCAAACTCAGAATCTTAGAGTATGTGAACAGTCCCAAATATCTGAGAAACAGCCTTATCTTCCATAAAGTATTAATGAACTCATACAAAACAGGCGTGATACTGTTGTGAGACTGGGGTATTCTAGAAAACTGGCAAGCTGGTAATACAATGAAGACTGAGGAAATCCCAATAGCTCTTCAGACTCCATTAGTTTTTTGAGAGATTGATTTCCTTTCATGATATACAGGAACAATATCTCTTTGAAAAGTGGAAGGCTTTGGCTGTATACCCTGGAATACAATGTCATTTCAGATTTCAAAGCTATTGTCTAAAACAAAGATCTATGAAAGAAAACAAACCTCTTTGTCTAAGTCATTAGAATATCCATGACATATAGTCATGGATAATTATTTGCTTCTGAACAGAAAACAATAGTTAATAGAGTAATGAAAAAATGTGGCTAAATTTTTTCAACATCATATAAAAAGCAATTAATTTTTAGGTAACTCGAATTTAAAGTGATTTCCAATTGCATATTTAAAAGCACAAAGTAAGAAGACCCATTGACCAAGTTAGAGCATACATTTTAGTGATGCTTGAAAAGAGACAAGCAAGAAAATGGAATCCCAATGACCAATAAAACTAGTGTAAGGTTGGTTTCTGAAGTCCTGAAGCAGATGAGAACTAGTCATAGTGGTTCAAGCATCCAGACTGCTCTATGTCTCACATACTTAAAACTTTCCAAGGCGATATCTTAGAATTTCACTTGAGCCCCAGATTTTGTCACTTGTGACAAGACAGTATTACCAATAATAAGGATAGTCATTACATTAATGCAAAAGCAAACTGCCTGCACCATCACTTTTTGATGGAATATATACTAGATATGGGTAATTGATAAATACCTGGTCAGTTACACATAGTTGCTGAAATAGTAATAACTAAAAAAATTGGCACCCTAACCTGCAGAAACCAAGATTTAGAACTCGCTACCTGAATAGACAAAGCTTTGCTCCACATCTTGACCTCCCATCTCAGGATACTCTTTCAATTCTAGCCAATGATCAAGCAGATCTGTGTTCTTGGAGTTTTGGGTAAGAAATCATGGATGCTATATTATTAAAAACTCATTCAGACACTTGCACACATATGTTTATTGCAGCACTACTCACAATAGCAAAGACTTGGAACCAACCCAAATGTCCATCAATGATAGGCTGGATTAAGAAAATGTGGCACATATACACCATGGAATACTATGCAGCCATAAAAAAAGGATGAGTTCATGTACTTTGTAGGGACATGGATGAACCTGGAAACCATCATTCTGAGCAAACTATCACAAGGATAGAAAACCAAACACCGCATGTTCTCACTCATAGGTGGGAATTGAACAAGGAGAACACTTGGACACAGGATGGGGAACATCACACACCAGGGCTTGTTGTGGGGTGGTTGGGGGGCGGGGGATAGCATTAGGAGATACACCTAATGTAAATGACGAATTAATGGGTGCAGCACACCAACATGGCACATGTATACATATGTAACACACCTGCACATTGTGCACATGTACCCTAGAACTTAAAGTACAATTAAAAAAATTTTAAAAAACTGGTTCCCATTGTCTGAGGAGAAGATGTTATCTCATGTCCTCCTTAATTGATCTAGGAGCATTGTTAGCACTCAAAAAGTTGTGTCAGCAAGGTAAAATGTGATTGTGGCACGTTCAATTTAAAGAATGTATGTATCTTGGGAGAAAATAATAGATGCAGTGATTTCAACCACAAAGAATTATACTCAGTATTCTTTCTTAAATGCATGTAAGAAGATTTCATTACAAGGCGAGACCAAGTCTGATTTTTATCTAATGAACTAAAGCTTTCTGCCACTGAGTCATTTCAGTAACACACTTGAATACACAATGTATGGCCATGTCAGTCTCTGATAGATTAGCCAGCAAAGGGAATACTCAAGTTTGTTTAAGCTGGGTGATTGCAAATTTCTATTCTGTATATGTTATTTTAATGAAGTGCTCAAAAGAGAGATAACTTACAGTTAATGCTTAATATATGTCATGAAGATTTCTTGGTTATATATTTAATTCTCAAAAATACCTGCAAAAAAATGTTTTCTAAAGTGTTCTACTGAGGGTAGGTGAAGCCCAAAAATTTATAACTAAAAAACAAAAACATATTATAGTTCAAGATTCATTTCAGTCTAAAACATAGGGAATCTTTAAATACCTGCCTTAGTTGGGACACCAATGTTTATTTTTCACTATAATTTTTGTTGAAGTTTCTTAGTTGCGTATTCATAGAAGAGTGATGATTTGTTGAAACCTGAATCAAAAACATCTTAATTTCTCCAACCTTGAGGGCAAAGGCTGAAAGACAGTAAAAAAGAAAGCAAATGGGAAACACTAAAATAACTTATATTGTTAACAGTATTTTTTTTCTATGCATGAAGTATAGAGATTAGGAAGGAGATGCTGTCACTAGATTATGATTACTTCATATAAAGGTCTATGTCTTACTCATCTTTGTGTCCATAGGATCCTAACACAGTATCTACTATCTGAATAGACACTCAAAACATACTTCCAACATATTTTTTTTTTTGGACTGTATATGTCTAGAAGTTTACGAGTTTATGTAAGATTGACTTCATTCTTGCTTCATGACATTTGGAATGTGCAGTTGTTCTCAAACTTGGATTCACACAGATGCCTGGGGTTCCCATGCCCAGAGACTATGGTTCAGTCTTGGGTAAAAGCCTGGGGACCACCATTTTTTAAAAGACTTCTAGGTGATTCTATTGTGCAGCAGGCTGGAGATTCACTACCATTGTCCAAAAGCAGTGATTCTCAATCCATAAAGTGCATGCAAATCATCTGGTGATCTTGTTAAAATGCAGATTCTGATCTAGAATGTTGGGAGCAGGGCCTGACATTTTTCATTTATAACAAGCATCCAACTGATGATATTGCTGAGAGTAGGGTGGCCAACCATTCTGGTTTGCTGAGGATATGAGACTTCAGTGCTAACCCAGGAATGTTCTTGGTAAACTGGGACAACAGTAACCCTAATTGTGGGTCTGTGGACTACACTTTATGTGATAAGGTCCTAGGGCAGAGGTTCTCAAACTACAGCATGCTTTAGAATCATCCATAATGCTTTCTAAAACTCAGATTGCTGGTACCTACCCCCAGAATTTCTCCTTCTGTACAACTGAGTTAGATGTTGAGATTGTACATTTATTAAAAGTGCCTAGGCAGGGCTCAGTGGCTTACAGTTGTAATCCCAGCATTTTGGGAGGCTGAGGCAGGCAGATCACATGAGGTCAGGAGTTCGAGACCACTCTGGCCAACATGGTAAAACCCTGTCTCTACTAAAAATACAAAAATTAGCTGGGCTTGGTGGCACGCTCCTGTAGTCCCAGCTACTTGGGAGGAGAGTCACTTGAACCTGGGGGGCAGAGGTTGCATTGAGCCGAGATTATGCCATTGCACTCCAGCCTGGGGGACAAAGAGAGACCCTGTCTCAAAAAAACAAAACAAAACAAAACAAAAGTACCTAGATGAGACTGATACTGCTAGTTTGGGGCTGCTGTTTGTGAACCACTATTCTAAACCACCATTAGTCAAACTTGTCTGCAGATTCGTTTTGCATGGAGAGGCTTTTGAACTACTGTTGCCTGGGCCTCAACACCAGTGGTTGTTCTAGGGTCCATCCTAGGATTTTACAATGTACCCCAAGTAGTTTTAATGAGCAGTCGAGTTTGAGATTGACAGTGAATATGTATCTTATAATTATCTGCAGTTCAAATATGAATTAGTTTTTGCATATTTGACATTCATGTTTGTTCATGTCACACTCATGATCACAGAGAGTGATCAGCCTGGGCAACATAGTAAGAGCCTGTTTCTACAAAAAGTACACACACGAAAAATATCCAGATATGGTAGCGCATTCCTGAGGTTCTAGCTACTAGGGAGGCTGAGGCAGAAGGATTGCTTGAGCCCAGGAGTGTGAGGTTGCAGTGAGCTACAATTGTGTCACTGCACTCCAGCCTGGCCAACAGAATAAGGCCCCATCTCTAAAATGTTTTCTTCTATTTTATTTCACATTCTCTGTATTTTTTAAATTTTATGTCATTAAAAATGTATTTTATTATCATGTTAGCGTCATTTTTGGAAGGAGTTGTGGTACGGTGGAAAACCATGAACCCCTCTAATTTTTGTTGTACAAGTACAAGTGGTGAAAATACAATGCTTGTAGTCTTTTCCTGCTTGGAAAGAAGTGTTGTCCTCATCTCATAGACCATCCTTTCTTAGTTAGGAAAGGTGAGATAAGAATGGCTGTTACAGAAAATAAGACCATTTTGGCTTATGTAACCTGAGCAAGAGGTGCTCTTCCTGGTACACACTTACTTAGTTCAGCAGGCTACCACACGAAAGTTCGAGGTCAAAATTCCAGCTAGTAATCAGAATTTCTTTGTCTCTTATTGTCCTCTGGGAATATAATTTCCTTGGCATATTGCAGAACTGGTAAATTAGTAAGTAAAACATCATTTGTGCATTCCTGAGTTTTCTGTATATATATATATACACACACACACACACACACACACACACACACATATGTGTATATATATATACATATATATAAAACATATATATGTCCTTCAACATATGTAACTATGAATAACTATGCTGTATACATACAGTTTCCAATTTGCAGTTTCAATATAGTATACAGTATTCAATGAATTATGTTAGATATTCATATTTTATTATGAAAGTGGCTTTGTGTTAGATAATTTTGCCCAACTGTAGGCTAATGTAAGTGTTCTTAGCACGTTTAAGGTAGGTTAGGCTAAGATATAATGTTTGATAAGTTAGGTATATTAAATGAATTTTAGACTTAGAATATTTTCAACTGATGATGAGTTTTCCTGGACATAACCCCATTGTAAGTTGAGAAACATCTGTATGTCTACTATGTATACACACACACACACACAATTTTCAAAATATAAATTTCAAGAATATTACACACTTAAATTTTAATAGTCTTTTGCTGGATTATAGGAATTTAGGTGTATTCTTCATTTATATTTTCCAAGTTATCTACCAAAGAATATATATTGCATGTTTAATAAGGAAGAAGTGATAAAGAAATTGCAACTCAGGGACTCCACTTTTGGTGAATGTAAATGTTATCTGTTTCTTGAGATGTTAAAAAAAGTTAAGAGAAGATAATTATGAGAGAAGCTTGAACTGAATGGGAAGTTCCTGCCATGCTTTAGGATCAATTATTAAATTCCAAGCTGGTGTCTAGGAAAACCAGGTTAAAATTGCCTTTCTACCAAGCTTGAAGTTACCCTGCAGTCCTCTTTTCAGCTTCCTCGAAACTTGAGGAGATCTTTGGGACAGAAAATCAGTGGCAATGTTGCTATCTAGGGTGAATGGCTGTATTGCTCCCATCTCATGCCTAACAGAGAGTCCCTTGCCTGGGTGTTCTAACACAGAAGACACGTCTTTTTCTGAGGCTGCTGTGTACATTTTTTTCAATGCGTCTTGTCAACCTGGGCAAGAAAATGAGGACTAGAGGGGATTGTCATGAACATTGTTCAATGCACTTGCTCTGTCAAATTGTTTTTTAATATTTTACTCAGCCCAGAAATGAGTTTAACAGTTTTCTGTAGCACAGTAATTTCCAGAATGCATGTGTGAGGCCACTGAGCCGTTGTGTTCCTCATCAGAGTTAAAGGAATTGTATTAATCTTTTCATAGTCTCCCTTCGCATACAGCAGAGTGACTGATTGCTTGGCATATGCTAGTGTGCCACATGGTACCAAACAGATGGAGAGCATTCAGGCAGAAGCTGGGTCGAGCCAAGATGTGCTCCACAATTTTGTGTTTGTGAAGAGAAACAACTGGGCGGGCTTTCTTTGCTTCCTCTGGTATTTGGATTCTGAACTAGGAGGGGGGAAAAATCACCCTGAATTAATCGCTGTCACTTCTATTGATCTGGATTCTATTAAGTGAGAACACATTTGCAATTAATCCACAGAGGCAGAGCAACTCAAATAAATTAGTTTATGATGGGCATTATAAAATGTATCAAGAGATTTTGTTCTTTCATTTCAGAAATAGAAAATTATTAATGTTTTTGCAAACTTAATTCTCTTGCTCTTAATTTGTGTTGCACATCTCTGGTTCATTCATTTATTTTAGCAAATATTTGTAACACACTCATTATACCAGGCACTGATTTAAGAACTGGAGATAATGTGAGAAATAAAAGGTAGAAGCCCTGGTACTCATATCACTTACATTTTAGTAGATAGGAAATAAAAGTAGAAATAATCTAAATAAATTTAAAAAATATGTTAGGTGGTAAGTGCTACAGAGAATAACACAGGTTAGTAACACAGGGAAGAAACTACCTATGGAGCAGAAGGTTTATTATGTTTTTATTTATTATTATTATTATTATTGAGATGGGGGTCTCACTCTGTCACCTGGGCTGGAGCGCAGTGGTGTGATCTTGGCTCACTGCAGCCTCTGCTTCCCAGGCTCAATCGATCCTACCACCTCAGCCTCCTGAGTAGGTGGGACTACAGGAATATGCCACCATGCCAGGCTAATTTTTGTATTTTTTTGTGGACATGGGGTTTTGCCATGCTGCCCAGGCTGATCTCGAACTCCTCAGCTCAAGCAATCCACCTTCCTTGGCCTTCCAAATTGCTGGGATTACAGACATGAGCCACTGCACCCGGTCTGGTTTATTGTTTTATATAAGAAAATTATGGAAGCTATCCCCATTGAGGTGACACTTGAAAGTGAGTAAGACCTCTGCACAGAGGAGGAAAGAAAATGTAAAGGTTCTGAGGTGAAGTCATGCAAGGCTACTTAGCATACTTGAGAAATAACAAAGGGCCGTTGCAGTTGAAGTAAGATGAGAAAGCAGGAAAGAGGTGAGAAAGCAGAAAGGAAGGCAGGTATCAGTTCATGTAGGGACTTTTAGGCATCTGTAAGGACTTAGATACTATTCTATGTGAGAAAGGAGACTACTTAGAGTACTTAAAACAAAGAAAGGACATACTTTGACTTACATTTCAAAGAGGTCAGCCTAGATGCTTGTTTGAGTTTTACAGAAAGACAACAGTTGATTCAGACCTTATGGAAGAATTCAGTAACAATCAAGATGTAAGATGATAGTGGCATAGCCCAAGATGGTGGCAGAGAATTATGATAAGTAGTTGTATTCTGGATATAAGTTGAGAAAATTACGAACAGGGTTTGATGATATATCTATTGTGAGGTGAAAGATACAAAAAAGGTTTAAAAGAATACTCCTTAAAATTATAATAGAGGCTGGTATTTCTGGAATGGTAGGACACAGACCTCTGAAAATTCTCCCTTTCAAAGAGGCAATAAGAATACTGTTAAAAATGGACAGAATAAATTTTTTCAGAATTCTGAAAATTAACCAAAGACATGCAGCAATGTAGGGAGCATTTACTTAATAAAGATTGTTGAATCTTGGTAAAACCTGTAAATTTTTTGGTAAATTTTCCCTATTCCCATTACTCCTTTCCAATTCTATGGTAGACTTGAAAACTAAGAGTTGACACTCACGGGGAAAACCAGCAGGCTGGTAGCCACCTGAGGAAGCACCAAGAAAAGATGGGCAAAAGATTTAAACAGACATTTCTTCAAAGAAGATATACAAGTGGATGATAATTACATAAAAATATACTCAGCATCATTAATCATTATGGAAATGCAAGTCAAAAGCACAATGAGATACCACTTCACTCCCATATCGATGCCTGTAGTTTTAAAACATGAAAAATAATAAGTGTTAGCAAGGATGTTGTGAAATTATTAGGTTGGTACAAATGTATTTACGGTTTTTGCCATTGAAAGTAATGGCAAACCGCAATTACTTCTGCACCAACCTAATAGAACACTTACACTTTGTTGGTGTGAATGTACAGTGGCACAAATGCTTTGAAAACCAGTTTAGTTGATCCTCCAACAGTTAAACATAAAGTTATTGTGTGATCTAGCAATTATATTCTTATATACACTCAGGCACTGCATAATGGCATATTAGTCAATAAAGAACCACTATATGACAGTGGTCCCATACAATTATAATACCGTATTTTTACTGTAGCTTTTCTATGTGTAGGCATGTTTAGATACACAAATACTTACCATTGTGTTATAATTGTCTACAGTATGCAATACAGTAAATTGCTGTACAGGTTTACAGCCTAGGAGCAATAAGCTATAACTTATAGCCTAGGTGGGTTGTTGGCTATACCATCTGGATTTGTGTAAGTACATTATATGATCTTTGCTCAACAATGAAATCTCCTAATGACACATTTCTAATAATGTATTCTCATCTTTAAGTGACCTATGACTTTGTATATATCCAAAAATGAAAATATATGACAAAAATACTTGTACATAAATGTTTATGGAAGTATTATTCATGATAGACACAAATTTTGAAACAGTTCAAATGTCTATAAACTCACAAATCAGTAATCAAAAGGTAGTATATCTATACACAGGAATATCATTCCACCATAAAAAGGGAAGAAGTAAGTACCCAATACATGAAGCAAGATAAATAAACCTTGAAAATATGCTGAATGAGAGAAACCAGATATAAAAGGCCACATATTATATGATTTTATTTATATAAAATATTCTTCTTTACAAATTCTCTTAAAAAGGGGTCAGCTCCAGGCAGTTCTATTTGGTACAATGTGATCACTGTCCTCTTAGCCACATCCACAGTTGGACTACAGTGAGCCCCCTACATAAGGGCAGTTAGTTGAAGGCTGACTACCAACCTGGGATGTGACCTGTTGAATTGGGTTATTGGCATTCACGCTATTGGATAAGTAAGTAGAAATACTAAAATTATAAGGCATTTGGCAGTTTAATCAGGATTGCAACAGTGAATAGGTGGTACTCTCAAATTAGAATAATTTAAAACGGACTTAATAAAGTCACAGAGGTGGGGTGTGGACAAAGAAAAAAAGCTTGGGGTGGGCAAGGGATGGGCATTTCTGTCAGAGGAGATAATAGCTGGCTGGTCCCAGGAAGGCTTAGGACACTAAGAAGGGTATGGAAAGACTGGAGCATAAGGCATCAGGGAAAAAACATACGGAGGTGAGACTTAAAAAGTTTGGAAGTAACAAAACACAAAAGCATTTTTTTATAAAGTATGGTAATGTAAGACATAAATGGATTGAAAGCTCTCTTAAGGGATGCTCACAATTTGAGGACTCTAGAGTTGTATAATCTCTGCAAAGATTTTAATACTTTTTTTTCTGTAGAATCAAGCACATATTATTGGGTCACTGAATTTAATAAATGCCTTCATATTTCTGTAAAAGAAGCTGAACCTCCCTTCTCCTCTGAGTTAAGTACCAAAAAATTCTAACCGTGAAGTCTGTTTCCCTTTTCTGAATGATCGTTCTTTTTCCTTTCATCCTCTTTTGAATCTCTTCTGGGCTAAATGCTGCTATAAAATCTGCAAAAGCCTATAATGCTTCCAAAATGGGTCCCTAATTCTAGATAGGAGAGTCAAATACATTCACACCCACCTATAAAATGCCTAAGGAATAGCCACTCCCGGTAGAATTTACTCACAACAAAATTTCTTAGCAACTTAGTTTTGTTGAAAAAGTTGGCTTTTAATGGAAGTAGATATTTAAATATTTATTTTAACAATCAACTTTTGTGAATGTGAGCCAAACAGAACTTCTGGGAAGATGGAGTACATCTTTTTGTTTTTCATTTGTTTGTTTTGTTTTTTGTTTTTCCCTATTCCTCCTTTTAAGTATAGAAAAAGAGGCAGCATTACAAGACAAAAACTTTTAGATAATAGCTGCTCTACTCTAGCAAAGCACCTCAGATAAAACTGAGATACTTCTTTTATTCAGGAAAAACTGAGTGGGAAACATAGATGTCTATTCTCATCAGGTTATAATGGGTGGCCCCAGTCCCCTCCCCACACCAAGGTGGTGTCAGAGAAGGTTGAATAGGGAGCTGAAAATTTCATTCTGGAAGGGATGGCAACCACCCCTGGCCCCATGGTGACGTGGAGACCACATAAAGAGGTACTACTTCTTCCTGCTGGGATGAAAACAGGAGACATCAAATGACGTGCCAGGACTCCCACCACCACTAATTGCCAATGAGGTACCCATCCATGGTGTCAGTGGAAGCCAAATGTGGAGCAGTAATGAAGTACTCCAACCCATCCACGGATGGAGCAGTGAAGGCCTAGCTGGGAGCCGGAACTCCCATTTCTGTCCAGCATTCACAAAGAGCCTAGTCTTTGAATGCCAACAGAGGCTGAGTGGCGAACTTGGAAATCTATTTCTACCTTTGCCTGCATGGGGCCAGGAAAGGCAAACCCAGTGAGCAGTGTACTCAAGCAAGTGGTAATTGTTTTTATGATCCAAGACCACATCCACCCCAAATGACAATGCAGGTGGCTGAACTAGAATTAAGTTTGAATTTATCAGGCACTTTTTTATTCAGATGGCCATTCAGAAACATATAAGGCAAGCTTCCTCAGAGTAGAAGTCAAGAGGAAGAAGAAACATCATGCCTAGGACTGGTCATAGCAAAATACCTGATTTTTTAAATAGTTTATCTAACTCAACATTTCTTTCATTAACAAAGATAAGTAAACCTTTGTTGTGGACAACCATTTTTAATTACTAAACTGCCTTGCTAAGGTGTATGGACGAGGAGAAGGTGAGAGCAATAGAGAGCAGAAACCTTTTTGAGTTTATTTTTAGAAGTCCATTCCACCTCATGATGATGTCAGCAACCTGGGGAAAATAAAGGGTATGAAGTGTCCATCAAATGCTGTGACAATTGACCTACTGTTGAGCAGTCTTTGCTACAAAATGTACACCATTATCATTGACTATGGATGAGCTGAAAACATGATAGTTTTGTTTCAAGGGAAAATATGTTACCAGAATCAGCTGGTCAGACTGAAATAGTAGTGAGGCCCCGTTGCCCAGAGGAATGGGCAAATACTCCAATGTGGTCAATTTGCCAGAAGTAAGCAGAGGCAAACCCCATGCATTATAGCCTCTGTCACCATGAAACAAATGGGAGAATTATTGGTGAGAGTCACCACATGAAATATTTGATGTGCAAGGATAGCATTTGCATCATAAACACATAGTCTTTAGCTTTGTGCCCATTCCGTGATGTTGGATGGATTACCATGTCTGGTTTGATTATAGATCTAGGTAGAGTTTTCAGTGAACAGGCAGTGCTATCTTGATCAGTAATTTGATTGCAGTCAATGTCATCAGAGAATGGGCCCTAACTGTGGGTGTCTACCTGAGTGATCCAGACTGTTCAATTAGCAGCAGTGATTTATTTCTGCGTTTTATGGCCTGGAAGAGAGAAATCTTTAATATGTGAGTCTGCAGTCTTCCAAGTAGCAACTCATAGGACTAGGACATTGGCAGCAAGCCAAAGTTCAGTAAAATATGTCATACCTAGTTCTTAGGAATATTGTCCTAGGCAAGAGTCACGACTTTCAGTTTAGCCCATTGTTTTGATTTGCCCTTACTGCTGTGATTCTTCCACAGTTGCTATTGCCCCATGTAAGCTCCTTGAATTATTCTACCTGCACTTTTCTGTTAGTTCTTTCTCTGGTTGTGGTAGTTTTCCCACATGCTTATGTGAGACGGCTTATGTTAGTCCTCTGCATATCTCCAGAGCTCTGCTCTCCTTGAACTTGGAAGTCTTTTTCCTTAACTCATTGAGATTGCTGAGCTCTGTTAAGATTCTTAACTCCTCTGTTTTAAGGTCTGTCTGCAGCCAGTAAGCTGGGGAAATCATAGGGCACATCTAGCTTGGTCCTTTTCTCAGTGATCACTGTTCTACGCTGCTGGTTATCCAATGTCTTAAACTATCATTTCATGTATTTTATCCAGTTTATAGTTTTTCAGAATGGGAGGTTAAATCTGGCTCCTTTACGCCATCATGACCAAAAGTGGAAGCTCCCTAATCTCTTTTGTAGTTGGAGAAATACAAAGGTGTTTTTTTTTTTCCTTACACTTACTTCCTTTAGAAAGATCCTTACTCTGAGAGAAAAAATAAGGGCCAGGATGGCTGAGAGGTGAAAAAAAAAAAAAGGCAACTTAGGATATATCCAGAAATAAAAATTGTCCAAGAGCTTGGTGTGTTATTTGTCCTATGTTTCTAAGGATCTTAATCACCACATGAGTATATATGCTGCAGAGTCTCAGCCCTAATTCATAAAATGATAAAGCAAAGGAAATACCCAAGCTTTTTCAGGGGGTGCAGAGCCTCATCAATGGCATTGCAGGATGCTCCTATGATTATGAGTTTATTGACCTCCTCTCTATCCTGCTTCTTACACACTCTCCTTGGCAAGTACACTCTTTGAATGAGACTGATGAAATACAGCCTGAGCAGGGAGCAGTCTCAGCATCACAGCACCACTTTGATGAGCCACAGGCTGAAGATAAATGACTAGGGAATATATCCAATTTATTCATTGGATTTTCCCATATAATTTCCAGCCAAGATTCCTTACAGGGCAAAGGAAAAGCCAAAGCAGACACCAGTGATTCAGTAACCTTCTCTTCCCAACTACTGTCTCCTCTCTTGACATATATATGTTTTAAAATAGCCACATGTATCTAAATGCAGATTTTGTCTCTGTCTGGATTTTAAAGTTCATCTGTTCAACATTTTTTCTTCCGTTTTAGATCTCTGTTCCCAATGATTAGTCCTGAAACATATGTTTTGCTATACTTTCAAATAGTGAGGCACGATGGCCGGGCTTTGTTGTTGTTTTCTTATGAATTCTGTAAATTTCACTCACCTTTTGACTAATTTTCCATTCTTAGTACTATAGCAGAAGTCGGTAAGTGACCTGTCTCTTTTTTAAGTGTGTGAAAGGGGAAGGGAGAAAGGACAATTATTTTGTAGCCATTAAGAACATTTTTACTCTGTAGCAGGCTCCGTACTTGTGATTGTATATAGGGTATCACATTAACCTTGTGGTTTAGTTATTAACTATTCTGAAAACAGATGAAGAAATTCAGACTCAGAAAAACCCAGACCTGTGCCTAGTTTGTTTCAATTCCCCAGATTAACAAGTCTTTCCCTTATATTCTTCTACTTCTCAAATTTATTTTGAAAAATTAAGCAGTGTCAGTGTTTTTCTTTTATTTTTATACACATTTATCTAAAAAGTAATATAAAAATCTATTCTTGTTATAATATTTATGAGCAATTCACAGTGGCTAAATGCCATTAATTTTTACTCAAACCCCATTCTTCTCCTCTGAGTAACCAATGATAATAATTTTGAGTCTTGTATTGTTTACATACAGATATATGTAAGAGCACAAATTTACAATTTAGTAACTTTTTAAAAAATGGCATTACATTATGTATTATGTTCTGCGATTTTCTTACTTTTTGATTTAAAACTAAGTCTTTGATTTTTTTTCTACATCAAACATAATATGCAGACTTTTAAATTGCTGCATGATTATCCCATGCTATAGCTTAGTTTCAAAAAATCATTTCTCTATTGTTAGAGTATACAATATTTCTAATTTTAGGTATCATAAATAACACTGCAGCCAACCCCCATAGAGAAACATCTTTTTAAACATGTATTATTCATTTTTCTCTCTTTATTTAGCACTTTTTCATCCTTTAATTTAAGAGATTGTAGTTTAATTAGCAAATGCTCCATCCAGTAGCTCTGCCAGATTTATCTCAATCTTGCTAAGGAGTTGAAATGATCCCCTTCTCATTCTGACAGTTTTGTGCTAATATCGCCAGCCAGACATCAAAATTCCTGATTCACAGCCATTCGGCTTTTAGGAATATTGAGGGTTCCAGTGCTCACATTGTCAGAGCAGGTTCATAGAATTATAGAAATAAGAGACTGAAATGACCTACTGGGCCAACTGTTCTATACACCTGCTGGCACAAGATTGTTCCTTACAATATACATTATTAATGAGATGAACTGGAATATATTTTTTAGAATAAATCCTTCCACTTGAACAAAAAAAAGTATGATGTCTTCAATGAGAACAGGAATCCTTCCAAATGAATGATTTCAGAGTCATATAAAGAGTGGGGACATAGCCTTATTACAATCCTAACAAGATCATGTCTAGCAATGTCATTATGTCTAATTTAAAATGTTCTAAATTAGTAGCACCTCTACTGTTCTCTCAGGACACTATTTCATTATTTAAGACTGATTACCAACAGAGAAAAATTCTATCTCCAAAATAAATTTGCTAATATTCTTCAGTCTTGTCTGGGGAAAGATTGATGGCTGAAGGAATAGGACAGATTCTGACCTGTGAAATAATGACTTAAATTAAGAGGAATAGTATCGGCTGGGCACAGGGCTTACGCCTGTAATCCCAGCATTTTGGGATGCTGAGGCGGGTGGATCACGAGGTCAGGAATTCAAGATTAGACTGGCCAACATAGTGAAACCCCGTCTCTACTAAAAATACAAAAATTAGCTGAGCGTGGTGGCATGTGCCTGTAGTCCCAGCTACTCAGGAGGCTGAGGCAGGAGAATCACTTGAACCCAGGAGGTGGAGCTTGCAGTGAGCCGAGATCGCGCCACTGCACTCCAGCCTGGGCGACAGGGCGAGACTCTGTCTCAAAAAAAATAAATAAATAAAGTAAGAAGAATGATATCAAGATAGAGATGTGACCCTCCACAACACACAAAAATATAAAATTTGGTAATTTTATATACCCATATTTATTTGGCAATAAATATTCAGTTCCTAGCACAGTGCTTAGCACATACTCAATAAATGGTTCTTTCTCATACCACTGGTATAGCAAATCCCATATCTTTAAGAGAATGAAAAACAACATTCAGTTACCTTTTCTTTTTTTTCCCTTTCTTTCTTTCTTTTTTTTCTTTCTTTCTTTTTCTTCCTTCCTTTCTTCCTTCCTCCCTCCCTTTCTTTTTCTTTCTTTCTTTTTCTTTCTTTCCCCTTCCTTCCTTCCTTTCTTCCTTCCTTTTTCTTTCTTTTCCTTTCTCTCTCTCTTTCTCTTTCTCTCTTTCTCTCTCTCTCTTTCTCTCTCTCTTTCTCTCTCTCTCTTTTCTTTCTTTCCTTCCTTCTTTTTTCTTTCTTTCTCTTTCTTTCTTTCTTTCTTTCTTTCTTTCTTTCTTTCTTTCTTTCTTTCTTTCTTCTTTCTTTCTTTCTTTCTTTCTTTTCCTTCCTTCTTTCTGAGTTTTGCGCTTGTTGCCCAGGCTGGAGTGCAATGGCACAATCTTGGCTCACTGCAACCTCCGCC
Source organism: Homo sapiens (assembly GCF_000001405.40). NCBI lineage: Eukaryota > Metazoa > Chordata > Mammalia > Primates > Hominidae > Homo > Homo sapiens. Next base: position 104,822,149 of record NC_000011.10, read on the forward strand.
TCCCAGGTTTAACCTATTCTCTTGCCTCAGCTTCCCGAGTAGCTGGGATTATAGGCACCCGCCACCATGCCAAGCTAATTTTTTTGTATTTTTTAGTAGAGACGGGGTTTCACTATGTTGGCCAGACTGGTCTCGAACTCCTGACCACAGGTGATCCACCCACCGTGACCTCCCAAAGTCAGTTACCTTTTCTATACTCTGCCTTTACCTTCTGATATGGTTTGGCTGTGTCCTCATCCAAATTTCAACTTGAATTGTCTCTCCCAGAATTCCCACATATTGTGGGAGGGACCCAGAGGGAGGTAATTGAATTATGGGGGCCAGCCTCTTCTGTGCTATTCTTGTAATAGTTAATAAGTTTCACGAGATCTGATGGGTTCATCAGGGGTTTCCACTTTTGCTTTTTCCTCATTTTCTCTTACCACTGCCATGTAAGAAGTGCCTCTCACCTCCCACCATGATTGTGTGGCCTTCCAGCCATGTGGAACTCTAAGTCCAATTAAACCTCTTCTCCTTCCCAGTCTCGGGTATGTCTTTATCAGCAGTGTGAAAACTAATACACCTTCCTTCACCAATTCTTTAAAAAAAATACCTGTGAATTTAAGTATTCTGGCAGATAATGTTAAAATTTTGACTCTTTATGTATAACAACACAGAGAATCTGCTTTTTTGAATGAACGAAAAAGAAAATTGAGTCCAAATAGTTTTATTTATTTATTTTTTATTATTTATTTATTTTTTTGAGACAGAGTCTTGCTCTGTCGCCAGGCTGGAGTGCAGTGGCGCGATCTCAGCTCACTGCAACCTCCGCCTCCCAGGTTCAAGCTATTCTCCTGCCTCAGACTCCCCAGTAGCAGGGACTATAGTTGCACACCACCACGCCCAGCTAATTTTTGTATTTTTAATAGAGACAAGGTTTCACCATGTTGGCCAGGATGTTCTCGATCTCCTGACCTTGTGATCCACCCATCTCGGCCTCCCAAAGTGCTGGGATTACAGACGTGAGCCAAAATTGAGTCAAAATCGTCTTATTTCTGTGTGATGCAGAGTACTGCATCTTGAGTGATTATTTGCGTACATGTCTGTCCCTATAGTCTTTAGCCTTTTTGTGGAAAATATCTTCATATTACTCATATTTTCAAATTTATAACTTACTATAATAGCTAGTAAACCAGAGACAACGAAGATTTGTTGAATAGACAAATTAATGAACCAAAATTTCTTTCTTCTATAAGCTGAACTGTTATTATATTATCATTGTCAGTAAGACACTTTATGGATCTAGAAGAAGCTTAATAGATCAATTAATATAACAAACTCATTTTATAGATAAAAAAGATAACTAGAAAGATAATTTATAAATCAGGTTTGACTAGAGGTAAAATAATGTATTTATTTTAAGTTTGAGAAAATTATTTAGAATGAAGTATAGAAAGTAAAAATAAAAGCATTGCCATGATATAGTCATTTAATAATCCATGATTTTAACCAATAATGCATGGCCATTACTGTGTTACTGGAATGTATTCCAGTGTTATTCACACTTAATCAGATATTAACCTCTTGTATTTCTAGTAATGGATGATCTAGCTCATGGAGCTCCCATTTCTCGCTTATTCATAATCTGAGATGTTCTATTATTTTAGCCTTTAGTTTTATTCTCTGGTGTCATCACAAGATGGTGCCAGTGTGTCTCTCTCACCACAGAATAAGAATCAACAGATAATCTTCATGTTACTTGCACTGGAGGTTGGATACAGGTCTGGTAAATTCCAAGGATTTTTCACATTTTATTATTTCTGTTGAAATTCCAATATCCTCTCCCAAGCAATTAGTGAATAAATCTCTCAGAGTTGCCTTCAAAGTGTATATATTTCTCTATCTAAGAGGCTCCCATGCCCATGAATGACTCATACAATACTTCTGCTGATTTCAATGAGCTTCATCCATCTATGGGAAAACACAAACAACATCCCTATACATACAGGGTTATGGTCATTATTCTTGTTATTGCCTTTTCTACCAGGAACTTCTGTATATTATGTATAAATCTCAACTCATAAACTCATCTCTTGATTTCCATAGCCTTGTAAATAATTTAATATCAGTCATATTTGTTGTTTTTCTCACTTCAAGTTTTTGGAATTGTAAACCACACTAAACATCAGGGATGACTAATTCATCACTGATTATGTTTCCTTTAAGAATTTTATTATCCAGCTGGCAACACCAATTGCCCATTGTGTCTGCGCCTTCCTTATGCATGGGAATTACCATATTGGCTGGAATTGCTGGACCCTTCCAGTCTTCTCAGTGTAATGTGTGTTCATTACTACTGAGGTTCTGCCACATCTTTGGAGATGCTGCCACATGGCATCTCCCCCCACACAGCGCCATACACAAAGACACACAGACACACAGACACAGACACACACACACACACACACACACACCACTCAACCTGCAAGAATCCTTATTTAGTCTAGAGATACAGCATGTTTCTTCAAATTCTATTATTTTCAGTGGGTTAAGACACTGGGAAACAAAAGTCTAGAAGCACAAAAACTAATCTCATATGAGGAAAGAAAGTAGAATGTGGCCACCTCCTTAAGGGGGGAAAGAAAGGGAGGAGAACATAAAAAAAAAAAACAAAAAAAAAAAAACACAGAATATGCAATAAAAACATAAGTCTCTGTCTCAAAAAATTATCGTGATAAATATATATGGAAATTCATTCAATGCTACAGACACCACATGCCACACTTTTTTTTTTAATTGCACGCTGCTTCTCTAATTCAACCAACAATGAATTGAAGTATTTTTAAAAAACATAATAAAAATAACAATACAACAATAAAAATAATAAATATTTAAAAGTAATACAGTGTAACAATTTGTACAACATCTATATTGTTATGTAAATTAAATATAAGTACTCTAGAAATGATTTAAACTATATGGGAGAAGGTATGTAGGTTATCTGCAAATACTACACTATTTTATATAAGGGACTTAAGCCTCTGTGGATTTTGGTATTCACAGGGGTTCTGGAACCAATCCCCCAAATCCTCCATGGATACCAAAGAATAACTGTATTACTATATGGAGGAAGCTTTGCCAAGTTTTGCTAAAACACTAACAACAAACAAACTGAACCAATGTCTGCAAATGGGAGAGCTCACTAACTAGCAAATGTCCCTGAATCAATGAATCGATTGCTTATGAATAAATTAATCATATAATGCCTTAATCCCCAAAGGATTTAATGCAGCACTAAATTATTAAACTACAGTGAAATATGCATAATTTTCCACTATTAATCTGACTGACTTTGATCAGTCCACAGTGAAGCTGCATCTTAAGTTAGGATAGAGTTGGATGCATATAGAAGCTACAGGATTCCTTGGTATTACATGTTCCAGTTTTTAGCTTTCCCACCCATGTATATATTATTTTAAATTTATTATTGTTATTTATTTATTTATTTGTTATTAATTAATTTATTTATTTTTTGAGATGGAGTCTCGCTCTGTCACCCAGGCTGGAGTGCAGTGGCGCGACATCAGCTCACTGCAACCTCCGCCTCCTGGGTTCAAGTGATTCTCCTGCCTCAGTCTCCTGGAGAAGCTGGGATTACAAGCATATGTCACCACGCCCGGCTAACTTTTGTATTTTTAGTAGAGATGGGGTTTTACCATGTTGGCCAGGCTGGTCTCGAGCTTCTAGCCTCAAGTGGTCTGCCCACCTCGGCCTCCCAAAGTCCTGGGATTACAGGTGTGAGCCAGGCCTGTACCAGGCCTGTTATTTGTTATTTACTCCATCATTTATTAGGATAATGAACCTTTTTCCAGTGAAACACTTCCAGATAATTCTATGCAGAAGTACCGCTTTCTTGTAACTCTGATTAACTCAAGAAACGGTAGTAAATGAATATTTTTAGGAAAGCTTTTTTCCCAACAGATTTACCAATGCTTTTCTCAAATTGGGTGTGTATGTGTGTGTGTTTTAATGAATTTGATCCAAAATCAAAATCAAAACAAAACAAAACAAAAAAACTACCCTTTGCCAAGTGACCTCAGGGTCCACTGACTTAATTAAACATTTAATCATTGAAATATTTTAAAATGTCAAAACTTCGGCAACCAAATCATTTTATGCCCCAGAGCATGCCAGACTAGGAAAAAAAAAATAGTCTATGTAGCACGCCCTTAAGGTGAACAGTGAAATGCTTAATGCATTCACAGTTCTTGTAATGAAGCTACTTCCTAGAGCAAAAGGAAATACATACATAATATTTTTTCTTAGCCTGTAGTATTTGGATGATGAGTATATCAGATTCAGTGACAGAGCTTTCTTCTTTCCTGTCTCTTACTCCTCAAGCCTCTCAATATTGATGCATTGCCTTCTTTTTCTTCGGTTTCAAGTTATATATACTGCATATTTTTCAGCATGTTCTAGTTTCTTAAACTTATCATCCTATCTTAGTTTAAATAGTTTTCCCCCAAGCTCCTTTTCTTCCCCAACATGTTAAATAATTGAGTTTGTTTTACCCATATTTTTTTCCATCTTGCCACTGCATTCTATTTCATCTTTCATACTGATTTCATTAACTTTTATGCTAATTTTTATAAAGGTCTTTAGTATTATACAGAGAGGTCGGTGGGGGGGAATGAGATGTCCTTTTATTCAGTCATTCATTTGTTCTTTTAATTATGAAACATTTACCTAATACCAATTATGAGCAAGGCCCTGCATATAAAGAAAGGCATAAGACTCATTCCTGTACTCCAAGCACTGATAGAAACCAAATAAACCAAACATCAAATTTGAGAGGATATGAAAGGTCATCTAGGTCAGCAGCTCCATTGGCAGACTATATCAGAGTCATCTCTAGGGTTTTAAAAAGTGCAGAGTTATGGATCTTGTACCTCAGACACAAAATAAGTGTTAAATTAATTTGGACACTTGAGTTATTTATTATGTATCTTAGGTGACTTTGGAATGTTGGAATGCCAATGAAGAACGACTTGAAAGCATAGATGTAGTCCAACCTACAATCAATTTCTTAAATTACTTTAGTATTATATATACAAAACAAAAAGAATTCAAGAAATCTTATTCCAACATTCCAAATATATGTATTAATACTTTAGAATGTATGTATGTATTTCATATATTACTATATACATTTATTCATATATTTCATATATACATAGATATTTCATATATTTCTAGATACATATATTCTATATTCTTAAGTATATTCTATATACTATAGTATATACTGTGTGTATATATATATTCTAAAGTATACACACACATACATGTATATATTCTTTAGATTTAGTAAATCAGAATGTCAAATTTCTGAGACAGAAAATTCTAGCTTTGGACAGCTTTGACCATTATAAATTCTTCTTGAAAAAAATAGTTATGTATCTTGAAAAGAATAGTTTATCTTCTTGAAAAAAATAGTTATGTATCTTCTACCAGTTGATTATTTTTATTTCTCTTGTTTCTGAATAGGATTGAAATCCTTGGGGGCACAAACCACACACACAGGCACACATACACACACACACACACACACACACGGTTCTGATATCTTTCTCTCAGTCCTTTGTGGTTAAAATACAATGTTACATTAAAACATGACATACAACATATGCATACAGAGATCAGATGGCTTTTTAAAAGATTGTATAATTACTACTTAACAAAGACTTTTATTCAAACTTTTTTCATGACCTTCTCTTGCTAGTATATAAACTGCATACTTACTCTGCCGAATGGTTATCCAGCAACTATTGTTATCTATATACAACTACTACAGGAATATAATGTGTTACTATCCCCCAGGCATTCATTGAATGTTTCATACTATCACATGTTATTTATTCCCACATTTTTTCCTGTTTTATCCACATAATCCAAGCTGTCTTACTCAAAGCATATACTCCTCATAATTTCACTCTACCATCTTCTAAGAATAGAAATATTTTCTCATAATATTTCAAAGATTATTTTATAGAACTTTAATGTAATTTTATATGAGTAAATAAGGTCTGCAGTTGCCCAGAGAATAACTTCTGTGTTAGGCTGGACTACCCGTGTTTCTCTCCGGCATTATCCAAACAATTATTCAAGGTTGTTTTGAGTCTCCCTCAGTGTTGTGATTCCACTGAAATTCTGTGCTCATGTTCCAAAATCACAAGTCTGTGTCTAAGGATGTTGGGAGTTGAGAGTTGTGGGAGGCCTTGTTTTCCATCTGAAACAGACACTCAAAGAAGATACCAGCATTCTAACAGACTCCAAGGCCCAAGGAGCCTTACATCTAATATCCTTTCAAACTCACTTTACTTCCTGATATTATATTAGCCAAACACTTGTGCTGAAAACAATAGCACACTAAGGAAGGGAAAAGTAGAGAAATCCATAGTTCCCTTTCATTTCAATTATTTCTTACATCCCTGTAAGCTGGATATAGGATTTTTAGAATATATGTATGTTAGAAGTGAAATAAAAATCTTTGAACAGGATTTCTACTATTCCAGCAAAAACAAAACATATGCTTGCACAAGATTAAAAAATGCTGATGATTGAGCTGTAAAGAACTTAATTCAACAAGCAAAAAAAACAAATAACCCCATTAAAATGTGGGCAAAAGACATAAAGAGACACTTCTTGAAATGAGACATACGACTGACCAACAAAAATATGAAGAAAATACTCAATATCAATGATCCTCAGAGAAATGTATATCAAAACCACCGTGAGATAGCATCTCACACTAGTAAGGATGGCTGTTATTAAAAAGTCAAAAAGCAGCAGATGCTGGTGAGGCTGTGGAGAAAAGGGAACATTCACACACTGTTGGTGGGAATGTAAATTAGTTCAGCCACTGTGAAAAGCAGTTTGGAGATTTCTCAGAGAACTTAAAACACAACTACCATTGGACCCAGCAGTCCCATTACTGGGAGTATATTTAAAAGAAAACCAATTGTTCTATCAAAAAGACATCTGTACTCCTATGTTTATTGCAGCGCTATTCATAATAGCAAAGACATGGAATCAACCTAGCTGCCCAGTGGTGGATTGGATAAGGAAAATGTGGTACATACACACCATGGAGTACTATGCAGCCACAAAAAGAATGCAATCATGTTCTTTGCAGCAACATGAATGCAGCTGAAAGCCATCATTCTTGCTTTTTAGTACAAGTTAAATTTGGATACTCATGGACATAAAGATGGGAACAATAGACACTGTGGACTACTGGTGGGAAGGAAGAGAGGAGGCAAGTGTTAAAAAACTAACTATTGGGGTACTGTGCTTGCTACCTGAGTGAAGGGATCATTCATATTTCAAACCTCAGCATTATGCAATATATCCATGTGGCAAAACCTGCATATGTACCCCCTGAATTTAAAATAAAAGTTGAAATTATTAAAATGAAAGAAAATGAAAAATACAAAATACTGGTTATTTTGCATATAAGTAAAATACTTTCATATTTGTAGTTAAAGGTGGTATTACATAATATGAAGATAAATAATATCCGTGCTACAAATCTAAAATTTTATTTTTTGAATTTAAAATGGCAGTTAATTTGTCATAATATTTTTAACTTTTTATTTTGTAATAATTGTAGGTTCGCATGCATTTGTAAGAAATAACACAGAGATCCTGTGTACGTTTTACTCAGCTTTCCTAATGATCACATTTTGCAAAAGTATAATGTAATATCAGAACCAGGATATTGACATTGTTACAGTCAAAATATTTTTTCTCACTTTTTTTTTCTGAGATTTTCTAAACCATGAATTCCATTGCATTAATAGTTATAGGGCTACTCAGATAACTTCACCTTATATCAAATGAGTTGTAGTAGTTTATATAATTTTGAGAAAGTGATCCAGTTTGTTTAAATTGTGTGAAAATTGATTATATGAATTGAAGTTATCTTATCATACCTAACTAAATTAGAGTCAAGAGACCGGGGTGGAGGGGAAAACACTCAGGATACAATTGCCTTCAGAGGGATTATGCTGCAAGCCAGCTGCTGAAATGATCTGTTATTACCGTAAGACCAGTTTTACTTGGTAACTGTTGAAATAAACTGCCATGACAACAATAAACCATAATAAAATGCCATGACTGTTACTCACTCATCAGAGCTTGCTAGCTCTCAAAAACTTCACTAGTGCCAATGAATTAATCATAAATCTGAATACATTTAACTCCCTTGTTTATATAGTATTCTGAAATGCTTTAAAGTGTCCCCAGGGTAAATAATTACTCCTATGTATTTCACCAGCATATCTAATATTTTCAACTCATACCTTATCTTTTACATTCTAGTGATACAGATACAAAAATACTTTTAAATTCCTCAGATTTGCCTTATTTTTTCTCACTGTCAATTTTTTTACATGACTTCGTTCTCTCTGATAAAATTCCCTTTTGGCTCTTCTCCTGGATATTTCATACTCAATCCTTTCTGGTCTAAGTGTCATCTAAAGTGATGGAAGGCACCAGGAAGTCTTCCTGTGTACTTTCAAAGTACTCTATCCCAGGTCGTTGCTGACTAAATTATAGTAGCCTGCTTAGCATTAAGTTAATCTCAATAGACTTTAAACTTAACGAAAGCGGGAAATTATATCTTATTTATTCTTCCAAATACGGGCCTAGACTGTAAGCATAGAAGATTCAGTAGGTACAATATATCTCAATAATGCATTCTATTATGAGCAAGTTGCAATTCTGGGTTTTTAATGATTTTTTAATACAAAAATTAGTTGTGCCCTGAATAGCTAAAAAATAAAAATACACTTTAATAAAATGTATTACCTGAAATATTTAGTTTGAGATAACAGAGCTGTCCTAATGACATATGTGGTCATTGCAACACTTTTCTTTCTGCCTCTAAAAGCATTTTATTTGAGCAAAATCAGTTAAGAAAATACACAATAGACAAACTGGAAGTGAGGAAAGTTCAAAAGTGCAGAAAGAAAAAGGCTTACGCTTACGTGTAAGGAACAAGATGGAGAGGGGCCAGGAGGAAGAGATGGGATACATTTAGAAATTATATAGATTTAGTTCAAATTAGAGACTTTGGAAAACATTACCTGCAAACCTGTCTACCTTGTGCTGTGCAGAGTCAAGTAATAGAGGCAAAACGTTGACCAAATCGATCAGTCATTTTAACTGGGTTTAATGGAGGGAGGACGTTCCTCATTAGAGTGGTCAATGATATCAATATTTCTTTAGGTGAACACTGTCTGAAGCTACAACATTCAGCTTCATATGGCCATGATTCTCTTCATTTTGATATTAATAGGCATGGCTTTTATTCAGATGTCACTAGTCATCATATGTAAGCTCTTTTGATATAAGGGTGTGTGTTTGTCGGGGGAGGCGCTGAATCTGAACTACTAATTTAAATAAGCCATTTTGATTGCGGAATCTCAAGTAAGAATGTTGGTACAAATCTGAAAAAGCCTTCAAATATTTAATACTAAATATAGATATTTTTTCTAATATTTGCCATTCAAGATCTCTGTATGTGCTATTTAACAGTGAGTGCTTCAGACAAATGGCCCCACTCATTGCCTTGGACCTTATCACTAAAATTGAAATAAACTGTGCTCTTAGATAAGTAAAAAGGTGTTAGAAATGAAATTGCATTTCTAAACTACAATCATATTGGTCATCAATACAGAGTTGATACTCAACAGTAAATGGAATGATATATTAGCACATATATTTTATCAGTAGTTTCAAATTAGGATGTCTAGAAGAGTTACAACAGGACAAGGACTATAATGTAGTCATTCTCTCCAGTCTTAACATTCGACTTCTTTTCTTTTTATGTACGTAGACTTCACTTATTTCCTACATGCCAATAAATATAATATTTAAATCTCTTGCTCTGCCCTATCTGCATTTTTTTCGTTAGTTTCTTAAAAGGGCTTTAGTAGGCCGGGCGCAGTGGTTCACGCCTGTAATCCCAGCACTTAGGGAAGGTGAGGTGGGTAGATCACGAGGTCAAGAGGTCGAGACCATCCTGGCCAATATGGTGAAACCCCATCTCTACTAAAAATACAAAAATTAGCTGGGTCCCGGTGACTTGGGAGGCTGAGGCAGGAGAATCGCTCGAACCTGGGAGGCAGAGGGTACAGTGAGCCAAGATGGAGCCACTGCACTCCAGCCTGGTGACAGAGTGAGACTCCGTCTCAAAAAAAAAAAAAAAAAAAAAAAAAAAAAAAAAAAAGGGCGGGGGGGGGCTTTAGAAATATATTTCATGTAAAAATGTTATTTTTTTAATTTTATTTGTCATAAACGAATTGTGGAAATTTTGGGAAATATTTTAACAGAATAAGGAAGAAAGAAAATACAGTATTAATAATATCTGTCAGTCTTTATGTATATATGCCTATTTGACACTGATACTGTTTTTTATTTACCATGGTTTTAAAAATTAAGTGCATACTAAGAATTTTTTCTCTTTTATTTATTTTTACCATCTAAATTTATTACTTTATTATAATTTTGATTGATACATAATAATTGCACATATTTATCAGGTACAGTGCAATGTTTCTATACCTGTATACAATGTGTAATAAACAAACCAGAGTAATTAGCATATCTAGCCCCTCTATTTATCATCTCTTTGTGTTGGGAACATTCAAAATTCTCTCTTCTAGATACTTAAAAATATGGAATAAATTACTGTGAACTATATTCATTGTACAGTGCTGTAGAACACTAGAACTGATTCCTCTTACTTAGCTGTATTCCTTAAGCAATCAACCTGTCTCTATCCCCCCGCTCCCTACCCATCCTAGCTTCTAGCTACCACTATTCTATTCTTACTTTCTACTTCTATGAGATCAAATTATTTAGTTTTCACATGTGAATGAGAATATGTGTTATTTCTCTTTTTGTACCTGGCTTATTTCACTTAGCATAATGTCTTTCAGGTTCATCCATATTGCCACAAATGGCAGTATTTCATTCATTTTTATGGCCAAATAGTCTTCCATTGTGAATATATACCACGTTTTCTTTGTCCATTCATCTGTTGATAGATGCTTACATTTATTCTGTATCTTGACTATTGTGACTAGTGCAGCAATATGGAAGTGCAGGTATTTCTTAGACATAATGATGTGCTTTTGTTCGGATATATACCTAGTTGTGGGATTGCTGGATCATATGGTAATTCTGTTTGTAGTTTTTTTTGTAGGGGGGAGTCTACAAACTGTTTTGCATAATGGCTGTACTGATTTGCATTCCGCCCACCAACACTGTATGAGAGTTCCCCTTTCTCTGCACCCTTACTAGCATTTGTTATTTTTTGTCTTTTTGATAGTAGCCATTTTAACTGGGTTACAGTGACATCTCATTATGGTTTTGATTTGCATTTCCCTGCTGATTAGCGATGTTGAGCATTTTTTCATATGTGTTGTCTATTTGTATGTCTTCTTTTGAGAAACGTCTATTCAGATAATTTGCCCATTTTAAATTGAATTATTTTATTTTTGCTGTTGACTTGAGTTCCTCTATATTCTGAATGTTAATCTCTTTTTAGAGGAATGATTTGCACATATTTTCTCGCATTCTATAAGTTATCTCTTCACTCTTCTGATATTTTTCCTTTGCTGTACAGATGCTTTTTAGTTTGATATAATATATGTCTATTTTTGCTTTTGTTGCCTATAATTTTGTGGTCTTATCCATAAAATCTTTGCCAGAATGAATGTCTTGAAGAATTTCCCTATGTTTTCTTTCAGTAGTTTCCGGTCCTACCCTTAGGTCTTTAATTCATTTTGAGTTAATTTTTGTATATGGTGAGAAATAGGGATTTAGTTTTTCTTTTTTTCGTATGGATATCCAGGTTGTACAGGACCATTTATTGAAGAGACTATGTTGTCCCCATTGTATGTTCTTGACACTGGTGTGAAAAATCAGTTAGCTATAAATATGAAGATTTATGTCTAAAATATCTATTATTTTCCATTGGTCATGTGTGTGTTTTTATGCCAGTTACCACACTGTTTGGTTTTCTTCCTATTAATAGTATGTTTTGTAGCTTTCTAGTGTATTTTGAAGTTAGATACTCTGAAGATTTCAGCTTTGTACTTTTTATTCAAGATTGCTTTGGCTATTCAGAATCTTTCGTGGCTCCATATCAATTTTAGGATTGTTTATTCTATATTTGCAAAGAATGTAATTCATATATTGATAAGAATTGTATGGAATATTTACATTGCTTTGGATAGTGTGCTCATTTTAACAATATTAATTCTTTTGATTCATGAGCATGGGATGTCTTTCCATTTGATTACATCCTCTTCATTTTCTTTCACTAGAGTTTTATAATTGTATCGAGAAGACTTGTCATCTGTTTGGTTATATTTATTTCTATTATTATTTTTTTTTTTGCTATTGTGAATGAGATTGCTTTCCTGATTTCTTTTTCAGCTAGTTTGTTATTGGTGTATAGAAATGCTACTGATTTTTTTGTACATTGATTTTTCTATCCTGTAACTTTACTGAATTTATCAGTTCTAAAAGATTTTTGGTAACGTTTTTAAGTTGTTCGATATACAAGATCACGTCATCTGAAAAGAGGGACAATTGGCCTTCTTCCTTTCCATTTTGGATGTCTTTTATTTCTTTCTCTTGGCTAATTGCTCTGGTCAGGGCTACCAGTACTGTGTTGAATAAAAGTGGTGAAAGTGAGCATTTTTGTCTTGTTCCAGTTATTTGAGAAAAGTTTTCAATTTTTCCCTATTCAGTATGATGTTGGCTGTGGGTTTGCTATATATGGTCTTTATTGTGTCTAGATATGTTTCTTCTAAATCTAATTCTTTGAGAGCTTTTATCATGCAGGAATGTTGAATTTTATCAAATGTTTCTTTCTGCATTTATTAAGATACTCACATGGTTTTTTCCTTTATTCTGTTGATGTGCTGTATTACATTTCTTCAATTGTGTATGTGTGATCAACCTTGCATCCCTGGATAAATTACACTGAAATACGGTGTATAATCTTTTTTATGTGCTGTTGGATTCAGTTTGCTGGTATTTTCTTAAGGATTTTTGCATCTATGTTAATCAGGGATATTGGCTTGTACTTTTCATTTTTGTTACGCCCTTGTCTGGTTTTGGTATCAGAGTGATGCTGGCTTCACAGAATGAAAAATTCTCTCCCCTTCAGTTTTATACAATAGTTTACAAATAATTGGTTGTATTTCTTTCTTTTCTTTCTTTTTTTGAGACCGAGGCTCACTCTGTCACTCAGGCTGGAGTGCAGTGGTGTGATGTTGGCTCACTTCAACCTCTGCCTCCGGTGTTCAAGTGATTCTCATGCCCCAGCCTCCTGAGTATCTGGGATTACAGGCACCTACCACCACACCTGGCTGATTTTTATATTAGCCAGACTGGTCTGGAACTCCTGGCTTCAAGTGATCCACCTGCTTTGGCCTCCTAATGTTGGAATTACAGGCCTGAGCCACGGCACCCGGCTGGTTTTAGTTCTTTAGTGTTTGGTAATATTCAGCAGTGAATCTATCTAGTCCCGGGCTTTTCTTTGTTGGGAGACTTTTTATTACTGCTTCAATCTTAGTAGTTATTGGTCTGTTTAGGTTTTTTATTTCTTCCTGCTTCATTCTTAGTAGCTTGTTTGTGTCAAGGAATTTATCCATTTTCTCTAGGTTTCTCGTCTGTTGGCTTACACTTTTTCATAATATAATTTAATGATATTTTGTATCTCTGTGTTATTAGTTGAAATGTCTCCTTTTTCATTTGTGATTTTATTTACTTGGATCTTCTTTCCTTTTTTAATTATTCTAGCTAACTATTTGTCAATTTTGTCTATCTTTTGAAAAACCCAGTTTTCATTTTGTTGATCTTTTGTGTTTTTTAGTCTCTATTTCATTTATTTCTGCAGTAATCTTTATTATTTCTTTCTTCTTACTAATTCTAGTTTTAAGTAAATATTTGTTAAGGTCATGATCTTTAATAGTTACATAACATTTTATCCTGTGGAATGATTTTTTTTTTTAGGAATTCCCCTATTGTTTGGCTCTTATGTTGATTCCATTCTTTAATAAGAAAAAGGTATCCACTTATATAAATATTTGTTGCCTGAATATTTTTAAAAATGCATTCTATGAAGTCCAATCACAGAGACAGACTACATATTTTAGGCCACTTAATACATTTTGCAAATCTGTGTCCTAAAGTTTATGGTGGTGTATATTATTATTTATATATGAGCTTGCCCAACTTACTACATCTTTCCCAGAAAAAAAACAGGCATAAATTTAATTTTGCTTAATGAAGAAGAAAAAGTACATTTTACATATTTGTCATACTTATTAAAAATGTATATTTTTTCCTGTGATTTTTCCGTGTATGTCCTGCAATAAAATTTCAATTAAGGTTTTCTAAATTAATCAATCCATTAACTTTTAATAAGATCCTTATATATTAATACAATTATCATGTGCAGAATTATCTACTGCCAACTAAATGCCATTTTCCCTCTTCTATGGGCTCCTCTATATACTGAGAGTTGAAAGCCTGGGAATTACATTTTCCAAAATGCTTGCCAGCATGTTTTTGGATTTGATTCTAGCAATATAAAGCATCTACACAAGACTTGGAAAGTGCAATAGAAAGAGAAACCATTGTTCCTTCTGCTGCAGTAGCATAATAGGAATATGGTCTGACAGATGATGTGTAAGAAATGTTACCAAATGTTTCTGAATATTCTTTTGCAAATTACCCATTTTGATTCTGTAAGCAACTAATATTAAAATTGATGATATTTTGCAATCCCTGCGCTTCCTGATTTCCTAAGTACTGCCAGTTCTGACTTTCACTTCCCTAGCCTCTCAAATTTTTTATTAAATCCTACCGTATCTGAATTAGATCTTAGCTTTATATTTCCCCACATGAAATCTTAGTGATATGTATTAATATTTATCTCAAATGTTTTCTAACTTATATTTTAACTTTTACATTTTGTTAATAATTTTAAGAAAGTTGTAGTATTTACATGTGTAAATACTTAACACATTTTTAATTTAATTTTTAAATTAAAAAATCTCAAAAAATGTTACCCATATAGTACAAAACTATATTTTTTTTAGCCTGAAGCATTTAAAATAAATTAGACAAACTGATGCTTCATTACCAATGAACACGTTGGCATACTTCTATAAGCAAAGACAATTTTCTAATATCCTTGTACATAGTATAACCATCAAAATCAGATAATGAACACTGATAGATTATGGGAACTAATTCTCAAAATTTATTTAATATTCACCAATTGTCCTCCAAAATGTCCTTTAAAGCAGAAGATTCTAGTCTATAAATGTATGTTACATTTACTTGATTATTCTTAAGTCTACTCAAATCTGAAATACTTCCTCAACTTTTTTTAACGCATGTGATTTTGATACTTTTGAAGATTGGAAGCCACTTATTTTATAGAAAGCCCCTCAGTTTCTGTTTGCTTGATGGTTCTTCATCAATAGATTATGCTTCTTTGGCAGGGATATCACAGAAGCATGAATGTGTTTTTTACCTATGCATTCTTACATTACATATAAGATACTATGTGGTTTCCATTCATTCCACCATTGGTGATAGTAACTTTAATCCTTTAATTAAGAGGTGTTGGCTAGACTCCTATGAATAAGATTTCTCTTTTTTCTCACTGTAATTTTGTGAAGGTACTTTGAAACTAGATATTAGTTTACTTCAAACTTTAAATTTCTCTTCAAACTTTAATTTTATTCACTTATTTATATTAGTATGTACTCACATATTCTTATTTTAATATTTGGGTTAAAAATCTTTATGCTCATTATTTATATCTCAAATTCCCCAAGATTTGGTTAATAGAAGCACTTTCAAGATATTTTGTGTATCTTTTGGGAGTGTGTCTGTGGTTTTTGAACACTCCCTTACTGTCTGGCATGAAAAAAGTAAGGTTAGTTTTATACTTCCTCTGTCCTGGAACTGGAATCAGTCATTTCTCTAAAGCAGCAGTCCTCAACCTTTTTGGCACCAAGGACGGGTTTTGTGGAAGACAATTTTTCCATGGGTAGGAGGTGGAGGGATGGTTTTGGGATTAAACTGTTCCACTTCAGATCATCAGGCATTAGTTAGTAGAGTCTCATGAGGAGCACACAACCCATGTCTCTTGCATGCATGGTTCACCACTGGGTTTGAGCTCCCATGAGAATCTAATACCACAGCTGATCTGACAGGAGGCAGATCTCAGGAGGTAATGCTTGGCTGACGCTTAACTCCTGCTGTGTGGCCCCACTTCTAACAGGACACAGACCAGTACCATTCTGTGGCTAGCGATTTGGGGACACCTGTTCTAAGGATGTTCTGGTTCATTTTGTCAATGAAATTTGGAAAACGAAAACTGCGAACTATATTTGTTTATTGTTATTAAGGTATGTTGTTCAAAATCCTCTCATATGATAGAGCTAGGATATTACTATCTCTATCTCATGTCTACCAATATCATGTCAGTTAAAAATCACATGTTCACAATATCTCCAAACCAATCAATACCATAAGATTTGTTCTAGGTTTTTCTCTTTCTATAAGTGTCTCTTTCTTCTCTAAAATGGAGAAACCTGCCTTCCATTAGCCTGAAGATATTTACTCAATTGGTTGTTTCAAATGTTACTAACACATTCCTAACCCTACTCCAGCTCAGATACGCTACCCAGGGCTTCCATAGCTTCCCTCATTTGGTTACCTTCCTCATTTTGCCTGGGCTTCAGTACCATATTCTAAGCCACGCACCATGCCCTCTTTATAATGGTTAGTCCTTTGACATTCAGTGCTTGGCCACACTCTCACTCCCATACATGGAAGCCTTATGGGCCCCAACATCCTGCACTCAACTATCCTCCTGAATCCCACTCTTCACCATGAAGTTTGACATGTGATGGACAAACACTCTCTATTCGGGTTCTGACATGACTTGCTGGATTACCACGGCTCCTCAACTTCCACCAGAGATATACATCTTGCTTAGTTAGGACCAAGTAATGTTTTATTCTTTCATTAATTTATTTTTAGACTGAATTTCTTTGGAATAGTAAGAGTATTACTTTATTTTCATTCTTGTCCATTTCAATATTAATTAGACACTCACAGTCTCTGTCTTTTAATTGGAGCATTTTGATCATTTACATTTAATATAATTATTGCCACGGTTTGGTTTAAATACAGCATCTTGCTATTTCTGTCACCCAGGCTGGAGTGCAGTGATGCGAACTTGGCTCACTGCAACCTCCATCTCCCGGGTTCACGCGACTCTTCTGCCTCAGTCTCCAAAGTAGCTGAGATTACAGGTGCCCACCACCATGCCTGGCTGATTTTTGTATTTTTAGTAGAGACAGGGTTTCTTCATGTTGGCCAGGCTGGTCTTGAATTCCTGACTTCAGGTGATCCACTTGCCTCAGCCTCCCAAAGTGCTGAGATTACAGGTGTGAGCCACTGCGCCTGGCCGGTATTTCTTGTCCTCCTGTTCTGTTTAACTTATTTCTCCCTCTTTCTACCTTTTTTTTGATTTATTGGTAAATTTATGTGTTTTTCTTTTTTCTTTCATGATTGTTTATTAGCTATAATTATTTGTGGTGTTATTGTAGTTGTTGTTTTAATGGTTATAGTATACATGTCTACCTTATCATAGTCTACCTTCCACAAATATAATACCATTTCACTTTTAGTATAAAAACCTTACATTTTCATCTTTTCTTTCCTGGCCTTTGTGGTGGTGTTGTCAAACGTTTTACTTCTACATGAGCTCCAAATCCAACAATATAGTGTTATTATTTTTACTTAAACAGTTAATTATCTTTTAAAAATTTTAAATAAGAAAGATATATTTTATGTAGTTATATTTCTGGCGCTCTTTATTCAATTGTGTAGATTATACTTTCATCTGTTATTAGTTACTCCTCCGGTAACACATTTCTTTTAGTTCAGACATACTGATGATGAAGTATTTTAGCTTCTGTATGTTCAGCTATTATTTCTTCAGCATTTAAAAATACATTTTGCTGGGTACAGAATTCTGGAATGATAGCATTTTTACTTCACTACATTAAAGTTACTCCTCAACTGATGTCTGATGTTCAGTTTTCTAATGAGAAGTCTGTTGTAATTTTTCATCTTTTTTTTCCTCTGAATATACTGTGCCTTTTTCTCTGGCTCTTTTTATCATTGGATTTAAGTAGTTGGTTAAGATATATTTTACTACAGTTTCCTTAATTTTGCTTGTGCTTGATTGAGATTTTTCGTGAACCAAAAATTTGGAAAAAATGGTCATTATTTTTTGCAAATGTATTTTCTGCTTTTCCTCTGTCTTTTATGCTTCAGGACTCAAATTACACCAGGACTCAAATTGTCCCACAGCTGATTTATGCTCAGTTAATGTTTTTCTCATCATTTTATTCTTCTCTGCTTCATTTTTGAATTGTTTATGTTGCCATCTCTTCTATCTTTTCTTATATAAGGTATAAATTACTATTATTAATCCCATCTAGTGTATTTTGCATTTGAGACACTGCTTTCAACTCTAGAAGTTTGAGTTAGGTCTTAGCACTTCTCTGCTGAACAAGTTCAATTTAGCTAATTCAACGTATGGAATAAAGTTTAATAACTATTGTGATAGCTTCATCTATTCTATTTTCTGTATTTTTCAGGGTCAGTTTAATTGATTAATTTTTTTCTTGCATATATTGTATTTTATTGTTTCTTTTCATATCTGGTAATTTATACTAGATACCAGATACTGCTAACTTTATCTTTTTGGGCGCTGGATATTTTTGTATTTCTACATATATTCTTGAGCAGTTAATTTATGTGAAAATAATTTGATCCTTTTGGTCTGGCTTTTAAGATTGTTTTAATCAGGACCAGAGGAGTTTTTGTTTACAGTTAATTTGACTTCACTTGTGAAGCAATTCACTTCTGAGTTACCTACCTATACACCCAATGTTTCATGAATTTTAAGTTCCCACTCTGGCTGATGGGAATAGGCATTATTCCTCTAATTCTTTTGGCTGTTTAATCTCTGGTTTCTGGTGGTAACATCATATGGCATGAACTGATCAGTATGAGTGAAGGCTTGAAGAAACCTGCATTTCTCCAGACAGCTTCTCCCCCTACTGTCTTCCCCCAACTCTCTGCAGCTTTATTTTCTGTGGCACTAACCCCTGCGAATTCTAGCCACCCTTTTCTCTTATGGAAGGAGCTATATTACTGGCTTCTTCTCCTCAGCTCAGGAAATCACAAGATTCTGCCCAGATTTTTCCTCATTGTACTATAGCCTTGAATATATCTCTTCCTGCCCTCCCCCTACCCTCCCCAGCTTTATTCTCTCTGGCACTAACTCTCTGGTGAAAATGCTAGCCACTCATTTCTCTTATGGAAGGAGCTACATTACCGGCTCCTTCTCCTAGAAGGAAATCACTAGATTCTGCCCAGATTCTTCCTCATTTTACTGTAGCCTTGAATATCTCTCCAGGCAATAAAGTGAAATAATCCTGAGATTCACCTACTTTACTTCTCATCTCTCAGAGATAAATATCTTTTATTACCTGATATATAGTATCATAACATACAGTTTTGTATTTTTATGTGTCTTTTATTTTGGTTGTTTTGGGAAGAATAGTAAATCAAGTTCCTGTTTCTCCACATTGGCTAGAAGTAGAATTATTTTACTCTTTTAAATATTTGACTGTACAATATGCTGAAAATCCTAAAATCCTTCTACACTATGTGACTGGATATAGACTTTTTTCCTATAATCATTTGAGAGCCAATCAAAAACCTTTCTAAAAATGTTCAGATTTATACTGTCAGAAATGAAAAGCTTTTGGTACTGCCTCACGAGGATTTGAGGATGAAAGATAGAGGTTGTGAAACAAATTAGGGATTTGTCATTTCTTCATAATGTATATGATTGCACAATATTGTATAATCTAAATTTACATACTTTTGAGTATGTTTAATAAAAGTGGGAATAGAAAAACTAGAAAGGATAATATTTGAAGTTGATTTTTTAAGGTTACATAAAATTGCCATGGCATGGTGACTGTATTCGTCTGAGTTTCCCTGTATGCCAAGATTTAGTCATAAACTTATGAAGAAAGAGATTTCTGGAAGGTGATTAATCTATCCTCCCTTATTCTCTCTTTTCCTCAACAATTGCCTTATTTCTTTCTTACATTTTCAAATATAGAACATCTTCAGAGTGCTAGAAGAATATACCCAGGTTACATACTTGAATCTCATGTTCAAAGTTGGAATTGTGTCTGCAGACTAAGACAGGTGGTGCTGATTCTCAGTTTGAAGATGCATTGTGTTAAAGTAATTTGAAAATCTGATTCAAATAAATAATATTATGGGTTTTCTTCTTTTGAGTTAGGATGGTAAGTGGCTAAGAGTGTAAATCTTGGAGTAATTATGCCTAAATTTTAAACAAAGCTCTTTTGTATTTGCTATGTGAATTCAGACCTGCTACATAATTCCTCTTTGTTTCATTTTCCTTGTTTGACATCATTATCTATCTCATGGAATGGTTGTGAAGATTAAATGATTTAATACATCTGGAACATTTAGAAAAATACTTACATAGTATGTAAGAATGTTTGGCTACTCTCATTTTGTTAGTTGCAAAGTAGTTAATTTTTCCTAGATAAACCTATCAGCATTTTAATATTACCACAATTATTTTATTGCCATCTGCTAATTACGTAATTACCTTACATCTATATAGAGAAAGATCATTATCATAATAACTATTCAACAGTAATCCCAGGAAGTCTTTGTAATTAACAGAGATGGAGCCAAGTTCTTTTCAAGTAATATATGCTCTCATCTGACCCTTTATAACTTTGGGAAGTATTATTCATGAAATAGTATTCACATGAAGTCTATTCAATAATCACAATCACTTCATTAAGCACATTGTAGAAGAAGAAAAGCCTGTATTTTCTTCTTAAATATTTACATGAATTTTATTAAAAATAACGAAAAGATTGTAGTTGAGTCTTCTTGTTTAGGACTATATAAGAAATGATTTCTGTGTAGTGTGTCGAGGCTAACTGAAATGCAAATGTCTGAAGGTCTAGGTATGACCACGATTCTGAAATAATGATGTTCAATGACCCAGCTGTCTCCTGAGGTCTGTTATAGTGTTTTCCGAAGTGTCTCTCTGGCATTGTTGAATCTATAACTAGTAACTGGAAAAAACATATTTCCTATGTCTCCAATACACACAAAGAAAAAATTAAGATATGCCATGAGGAATTTATTGCTTTAGAAATCTGCTCATCAAAATAAAAATTAGTCATTCAGAAACAATAAAAACTTAAGTCTTTTAATGCATGTTCTTAGAGAAAAGGAACTGAAACACTAACCTCTAAAACAGAGTAATTCAACATTTTGTGGGTATTCTAATGTTATGCAAACATGTTGACAACAATCAATTTAAATTGTAGAGAGTAATGGTGACCAAATTTTCTTGGATAATTTAACACAGGAACATTACACTCAGATAGTTTTATTTTAATCTACATTTTTAATCACTATTTATGAATCTTTCAAAGCATATCCTTTGACATTTGGCCTAATCCTTATTTCCTATTAGCATGTTCTTTTAGTTTTACTGTTCAACAGACATTGGCATATGTTTTTATTGATACATTGTTTTCATGCACGACAATATTAAATAATCAAATGTGTTTTGTGACCTTGTTCAGAAATTCTAATGTTAACTATGTAGATTCTCAGTCATGGCATATTGCTGGTGCCCAGATTTCTTAGCACATATAATCCTTTAATTAGATATTGTGTTTTGATGTTAATATCCATTACTTATCTTAGTATGGCAAAACCTTTGTAAGTGTACAAGCAAAGGCAAAATTAAATAGGAAAATGCATACTATTTCACTAAAGAAAATTATAAAATTTCAAAGTTCAGAAAATGTCATAAACCATATTAAAAGGATAAAGACAAATAGCAATAACGTATTTATTTCAGATATTATGTTGAAGAAAATGATGCAGCTTAAAACTAAAGAACTTTAATAAACCAATAAAAATAAAACTCCAATAATTTTGAAGTGTCTTAAAAGTAAATGTGGAATTTCAGAAAAATAAACATTTTCAATTAATGTAAAGAGTTCAAATTAATTTTAGATCAGTAGTGCTTTTATTAGTAACAACAAAATTATGTCTACTATTTATTAAGCATTTACCATGTGCCAAGCACTGAGCTAAATTAAACCATTTAAACATGATAGCAAATGTAGGAGATAAGTATTATTATTATTATAAAAGTATTATTTTAAAAGTATATAAAAATATTATTATTATTATAAAACCTGCTTTTCAGATGAGGAAATGGGGAAATAAAAAGGGAAGTTATGTTGTCGAAATTTACTTAGTGGTAGAGTTGAATCACAAGTTTATGACTGACAAATTCCTATACACATGTTCTTAAGCCACTGCACTAAGAAAATATGATTTAACTCATAAGATATCTTAAAAATATGTCTGGCAAATTGGCAAAGAATAAAGAATTGATTGTGTTCAAAATTGGCAAAAATATTTTAAAACAGACTTTTCTTTTACATTGTCAGCTGGAATTGTAAAGTGGTAGAGACTTTTGAAGATCAGTTTAAAGAAAATATATTAAAAATATTAATGGGTGATTTCAATGGCTAAATAACTTTGAATCATTTATACTCTGAGACATAACCAGACATTGGCAAAGGTTAATCTAGAATTATATTTATTTTAGCATTGTTTATTCAATAGAAACATTAAAAATAAAATAAACTTTAATAATTGAAAATTCATTAAGTACAGCGTTACGGGATAGCTGTATAATTAATACTAATAATTTATTCAAATTACTGTTTTAGAAAAAATTATTTAACCTCATGACAAAAGTTTCAATATGCTTTTAAAAGGAAAAAAATTCCCAAGTGTAAACTGAACTATACACCCATACACTCGTAAAACATATATTTGCTAAAGAAACTGGAAGGCTACACCTTCAAAGCTAATTGTGGTTATCTATGAATGATGTAATTATGAATAAGTTTTGCTTTTCTTTCTGTTACTTTCTGCATTTGCTAAGTTTCAAACTTGTTAATTTTTTTTTCAGTTCATAAGCTGTATTAGCTAAGATTCATTTAAATCATTATCCTAGTATATACAATTTTAAATTGCATCTCTTCATTTACATCAAGTTAATTACCAGGATACAGAAAAATTTTACTCGTCTTCATAACTTAATCCTTTTTTTAAAATTCAAGTTTCAAAATATTACAAAAGTTTTAATGGCGTTAGTGTTAATAAACCAGGATTCTAAGACATTACATCTCATAGGTCTCTGAAAGAAAATTGAGGCTTTCTATTGCATGTGCGTGTGTCTCCAATTTAGTATGTGAGGATGAATTCCTAGATAATAAAGATATAGGAATTTCTAAGCTTTGCCATGTTATCTATCAGTAAATGAAAATCATTTCCACTAAATAAATCGATTTCCTCAAACTTCTAGTTGTTTAGCTCTTACCCCGAAATCTTCTTGTGTCCTTTCTTCCTTGAAGTATTCCTGGGGTGTAGTCAGTGGTTTATAACAAAGAAATGGACTTTGTTTAAATAATACAGTAATATTTTCTCATTTATTTTGAGAACTTATAGTAGATGTTTCAAATGATCTGAGAATTTCTGAGAGTATTTGCAGAATCACTGCTTTTGCATATTCAGAATCACTGCTTTTGAATAATTATTATAATGCTGACCAGGAGATGCTGCTAAGAGGAGGAGTTCAAATTATTGACTAATAAGTTGTGTTTTTCTTTCTTTCTGTTTCAATTTCAGTGAATCAGAAGAGCAATCTTTTTTTTTTTTTTTCCAAGTTGGCTTCATCCCTGGGATTCAAGGCTGGTTCAACATGTGTAAATCAATAAACGTAATTCATCACATAAACAGAACTAATGACAAAAGCCACATGATTATCTCAATAGATGCAGAAAAAGCTTTTGACGAAATTCAATATCCCTTCATTTTAAAAACTCTCAATAAACTAGGCATTGATGGAATATATCTCAAAATAATGAGACCCATTTATGACAAACCCACAGACAATATCACACTGAACGGACAAAGGTTGGAAGCATTCCCTTTGAAAACCAGCACAAGACAAAGATACCCTCTTTCTCCACTCCTATTCGACATAGTATTGGAAGTTCTGGCCAGGGCAATCAGGCAAGAGAAATAAATAAAGAGTATTCAAATAGGGAATCAAATGGTCTCTGTTTGCAGACAACATGATCCTACATCTAGAAAACCCCATCTACTCAGCCCAAAAGCTCCTCAAGCTGATAAGCAAATTGAGCAAAGTCTCAGGATACAAAAATCAATGTGCAAAAATCACAAGCATTCCTATACACCAACGATAGACAAGCAGAGAGCCAAATCATGAATGAACTCTCATTCACAATTGCTACAAAGAGAATAAAATACCTAAGAATACAGCTAACAAGGGACGTGAACGACCTTTTCAAGGAGAACTACAAACCACTGCTCAAGGAAATAAGAGAGGGCACAAACAAATGGAAAAATATTCCATGCTCATGGATAGGAAAAATCAATATCATGAAAATGGCCATACTGCCCAAAGAAATGATATTCCCATTAAACTACTATTGACATTATTCACAGAATTAGAAAAAATTACTTTAAATTGTATATGGAATCAAAAAAGAGCCTGTCTAACTAAGACAATCCTAAGTAAAAAGAACAAAGCTGGAGACCTCATGCTACATGACTTTAAACTATACTACAAGTCTACAGTAAACAAAATAGCATGGTAATGGTACCAAAACAGACACATAAACCAATGGAACAGAATAGAGATCTCAGAAATAAGATAGCACAGCTACAACCACCTGATCTTTGACAAACCTGACAAAAACAAGCAGTATGAAAAGGATTCCCTATTTAATAAATGGTGTTGGGAAAACTGCTTAGCCGTATGCAAATTTTTTTTTTTTTTTTTTTTTGAGACAGAGTCTCACCTGTCACCTAGGCTGGAGTGCAGTGGCATGATTTCAGCTCACTGCAATCTCTGCCTCCTGGGTTCAAGCGATTCTTGTGCCTCAGCCTCCCAAGTAGCTGGGGTTACAGGCTCCCACCACCACACCCAGCTAATTTTTTCTTTTTTTGTATTTTTACTAGAGATGGGATTATGCCACGTTGGCCAGGCTGGTCTCTAACTCCTAACGTCAAGTGATCCACCTGTCTTGGCCTCCCAAAGTGCTGGGATTACAGGCCTGAGCCATGGCACCCAGCCTAGGGCAATCTCATACTATGTGTAAAGAGGAAAGACTTCCCTTGGCTCTAAAATAATCTAATATTTTGTGACACTTCCTTAATCCAGCTGTGTTTGGAGCAAACATTCTAACTGTAGAATTTGGTTCATCTGTAAAACAGAGCCTAATGTCTGATTGGAGACATAGGTAGTCTGAGATGACAGATGGAAAATATAGCAGTGTTCTTTTCTGATGATCGTTTCATAGATATTTTGTGGATCTGACCCTATTTTTTTTAAGTTTGCTTTGCTTACCTTTGTTTTGTTCTTAGAGATGTATCCTCATTACATTTCCTACATATCCCTGAAGGTTTTATATAAGTTGCTGTATTTCCTGTGTTTTAAAAGTTTTTTAATTTTTCTATTCTTTTGGAAAATGTGGCATTTAAGAGCATCCTTTGTTATAATACATTTGGATAGCATTATTCTTAAAACACCTCCCTACTTATTGGATGATTCGATTCTAACAACAATGTGAGGTAAATAGTGTAAATATAATCGTAGCTATTCAATTTCAGGAAAGTTTTAAAAACCTAGGTGAGAGTATACAGTTTGGCAAAGGATGCAGTAAAAGACCTCTTTTGTGAGTAGGTCAGATAGATAGCTGTTTTATGGTGCTGTTGGAGGAACATTATCTTGAGGTTTTGCTCCAAGGTCTGTCTCTGTCTCTCACAAAGATGATCTTCCAGTTGTCCCTATAAAAATTATGTCTACATTTACATAATGGGTGAAAAAAGACTGGTCATTATGTCCTTGTGTATTTTTTAAGTGAATACATGATTGAGAAAGAAGAATACATTAGTTTAGACAACATAAATTGACAATTTATGTCCTGATTCCAAAAAAAGGAGAGAAATGCTTATGGCTAGAGATGTGCTATAGATCCATTGGTGTTTCTTCCCACTTTTTACCCGGGACTAAGATTTCTCTGCAAGGGCATACTACCTTCCAGTGAAAATTCCGTTCTAACATGACACATGCCACAGAGAGTAAAAACCTTTGATTATGCCTATTTTGAGCATCTATAGCAGCTATTTTATTCAATATTAAGCCCCACAGTCAATCATGTATACTAAAAGTGAAGCCTATGTAACTCATTGAGATACAGTGAGAACCAACGCATTGTAAGCTACCAGAGCAACTAAACAACTAAATGACTGTCATTTTTGTATGGCTCTATGACATGAAATTTATATTTTACTTTAATATAGAGGCAATCTGGGTACTTTGCAATTCTTAAAAACTTATGATAACAGAGAAAGGAAGACTTTTTTTGAAATCTCCAGTTTAAAGGTGGAGGCATACAGATTTCAGAGGATAAAAAAGAACATGTTCAAGAAAATACTGGCAGGAATTTCATATTAGAACAGGAACAAGGATGAGACTAAGAAGGAGGTCATCTGATGGGCAGCCAATTAAATTGAGATTCTGTTTAATTCAGTAAGTAGAGCCCTTATTTTTTTCTAAGTCAAAATTTTATGAAATCATTAAAAACACTGTGCAAATTATCAAGAAAACTATAGTCTATTTTATCAGACAATCTGACTCTATTGACTAATCCTTACTGAGTTTTTATTTTACATCTACATTAGGGGATTGCAGCACATGCAGCAAAACATCACAGGAGTTTAATGTAGGTCCCTGCCATTTTGTAATATCTTGGTAGGTTATTGGTTAGTTAAAATCGTCTGAAAAAGTGGACATTCTGAGGTTTTTGTTGTTGTTGTTGTTGTTGTTTTAATGGCTAAAGATATGAGTCCCAAAAGGATATAAGATTTAGGGTAGAAAATCACTACAGGTTGAAGCAGTAAATTCAGGCTTCCTCTTATCCTTTATGGCAGTTCTTAAAGGGTAAAAGGACAGAGCCACAAGGATTGATTGGCTGGGAGATCTTTAATGTAAGAAAGATCTTTAATGTAAGAAAGAGCTATGTTTGAGGTAATGTAATCACTCACTTAAATTTTGCCTGAACCTCATTTCATGCAGCATATATCAATATTTATAATTTACTATCTCAATAAATAGCCTTATAGTTTTTTAAACAATTTTTAAGAGTATCTCAGTAAGGGCAAGCCTTTACTATTGCAAAGTTGATATAATATTACCAAATAATATTAAATAAAAACTAAACCCATAATCCCAACAATCCTAATATCAGAGTTATACTGTAAAAAATGTATATTATCTTTTAATATCTCCATGTAGATTTTTCTATTTTTTAGGAAATTTGTATTTTTTTCTCAATTTTTGATGTCAAGAAAAAATTAGTTGAGAAATCAGGACAATGATTATTCTGCGAGCATTAAAGCTTGAATATTAACAGAGACTTAACTGGTTTGGAGGAAGCAAAGCTGACATGCAAGGTCTAAGGTTAAAGTGACCATTTTCGTGAGTTGGCAGGAGAGAAATGATCATGATTTCCTCAGTCTTACCTGTAGCTCTTGCCATGTTATAAGCAGATGTTTATGGTCCTATCTTCAGCTAATGAGTAATTCTTGCACATAAGGTGACCAAAAATGCAAGTTTAGGAAACAAAATAAGACCTTAATATAGCGAGTTAAACACGTGATACTGTGTTAGAGCCGTTTAACTTGCTTAGATGATCCTAATGTTACATTATGCAAATACTGCCCAATAAGGATTACTGGTGATTTCCAGTATTTAAATATTCACCCTACACTACAGGTCCTTGTAAATACCACTACACTCAAAATTTTGTATTTATTAGACATTGAAAAAAGATATTCATAACAATTTGTAAAGAATCTGAGAAATCTTGGGCGTATTTTCAGAATAACATGGTTGCAGAAATTCCCAATTTCTGTCTAATTTCTTGTTCCCAGTCCTGAAGATTGGTATCTGGAGGGATGGAGAACATTTAGAAACACTACATCTTTGATTCTTAGTTCACAGGAAACACTGTAAATAACAAGAATTTAAAAGTTTGTTTCTGACAGAGTTTCTATCTATATTTTCCTCTGCATCGTGGTATTATTCTTGGAACATAATATTTGTCTCTGACTCATTTGAGTTAATTTTTGTGACTTAGCGAACTCCTTGTCTGTTTCTACAGACTTCCAAATATGAAGGTGGATTAATTTTTAGTTTTATTGCTTTTTACATATTGTTCCAATGCCCATATATTGCCACAATCAACTTCTATTCTATGAGATTCAATTACCGAAAGCAATGTGAAGATCGGAGGAATAATTTAATTTACTATGGGAGATTTAAGTTTTAATCCAAATATTTCAAGGCCATTTATTTTCAATGTATGTCTTTTAATGGTCTATTTGGAGATTTCAGCATTCTCAATTCATACATTATAAGAAGTAGATTTAGGAAATGGCCAGAAGAAAACTTGAAGGATCCTAACAAGGAAGATGCATTTTGTTAAGTACAAAAAAGATTTATTACTCAAATCAGGCTACATTTAATATCCTTGCTTATCTTGTGGAAATTGACACAACACATTTTTCCATATTTTATTCTTCAAACTCCCTGAAGCAATCTATTTTCAGATGAAGGTGAAGGAGGAATAATGCTGTCTTCAGCATCACTGTGATTTCAAACCTAAAATTATATTTGCCGTGAATTCTAGACACATTTGTAACTAATAAGATGCTTAATTTAATAATTTTCTCTGATTCCATGGTGACACATTCAATGAATACTGGGAAATTTAAAAAATTGCAGGTCTCAGGTGACATAAAATGATAATTAAATGTGTATACTTATTTTTTATGTTTCTTAAAAGATTTTGGGGTTTGACCTGATTAAAAACAGTGGAAAAATGAGAACCACTTGTACTATAATTTAATAAAATATCCTAAAAAAATGATTCAGCAGGTCAACATGACTGGTTGACTTATCAAATCACATGACTATTTCCACATGATTGACATGTTGCTTTCCATCTACTTAAAACTAATAAGTTGAGTAAAGTTATTAGTAAAACAAAAAACTATTTGCCACATATGTTGTACAAAGTAGAGCACATGAACCTCTATAAAATAAGGCTTTAGTGTTTGTTAGAAATTCACAGGGTAAGGAACCGGGTGCAGATAGAGGTTAGCCAGTTGCTCAGTCTGCCACTGGAAGGAGGTGGAGATCAAAGCTATGGTGCCATTTATCTCAAACATCCACATGTAATTCCTGACATAGGGGTAAATGCAAACTCACCTGTTTCTTGCTGAAGGAGATAAGCACACCAGAAACAACAGCACTGCCAAGCAGAGCTGAACATTTTATTTGAAAATGTGTACAATGTGCAAGAACTGACTTCGTGGTGCATTTACGGACCCAACCATCAAACTCAAAACTAGTCATGTAAGAGTATCCCAAGGTCAGCAAGAACAATCAGAGGAAAAAGTGAACTCAAAGAGTGGATTTTATAGGGCTGTTCATTGTGAATAGTGATTTATTTTATTTTCTAAATTTTAAAATGTAGTCCCGAGAGGCAGTACAGGAGAAATGTTAAAAGACAGCATTACAAATAAGCTAAAACATTAGGTGTGTATAGAAAAGTAATCTTTGTCAATTGCTCCCAAGGTGCCTTGGACTGTCCAAAAAACTAGCTACGTGCTCATTCCACTTGCCCACACAGGCAAGTCTTCAGTGCACCTTGCAGTTTATTCCTTTCATGATACTCAAGTCTGAACTAACCCCTTTACTTAGCTAAGACATGGTTACGCTATATCTCTAGCCCTCCACACCACTCTCTTAGAATTTCCAAAGTGAGCGTTCTCATATTTAAAAACTGAATCTTGGTTTCTACGTGATTCTAAGATTATGAAAACATACTCCTCTCTCCCTGGCCATGCTACTATTTTCCTCAGTGTTTAGGAGTTTGGGCTGGTGATCTTGGCCAAATTATCCAATTTTTCTGTTCCTGAGTTTCCTCATTTATTATTTTAAATTTTATTTATTTAAATTTATTTTATTTACTTATAGCCACATCTTTCTGATGCCTCATTTATAAAATCAGGGTAATACAACATATTTATTTGGTTATTATGAAAATTTATCAAGATAAATTTTGCAAAATATTTGTAATAATATCTAGCTCATAGTAAATTCTTAATACATACTTAACAGTTACTGTTGTGTTGTGGCTGCTGTTGTTATTGTCCCCAAATAATGGATGTGTGTTAACAGTGGTAGAGTGGAGATAAGACATTGTACTGTAAATTCACTGAGAACTTAAATGTAGTTATTTATCTCTATATACCTTTTCATTAAGCATTGTTTTACACAAGCCATGGGTTCTCAATAAGTATTTTTTTAACAGAGTAAAACTTTGCTGTTGAACCTAAAAATATAATTCAGATGGCAGGCATTTTAGGCCAGTCCAGAAAAAGAGAATGTTAATAGATTCAAGATTAGAATATATAAAGCGGTGGCCAAGATGTGTAACTCAGTGTGAGTCATAAACTATTCAGCAGCTCTGGCAAGTTGATGGGCAAATCTGGAATCTGCAATTCTACCTGCTATTAAAACTTGATTTTTATGCCATGCTAGACTATGTAGTTCCCACTAAGGTGGAGGAAGTGGGGTTGAAAGGGTGATGACAATACTCAAGTAGCTTAAAAAGTTTCAAATTAAAGGCAGTGAAATGTTTATGATGGAATATGCTCAAGGTTGTTTTTCTCATGTTTCTGGATATCGGGTTATCTTTTACTGTCAGTGGTAGAGGCTAAGATGCACACTTTCTCATCTCCATGGCCAGGAATGAGTAGTCTCTCTTTTTTGTGGATAAGAAATTGCTACTGATTCTAGAAGAAAGCCTCCAGGCAAGTTTGTCTTCTCCTCTACACTACAGACAATATCTAGGCAGAAAACCGCACTCGCTGAATTGATATGCCTGGTCCACCAGATGCTAGGCCATCCAAAGGGTATCAGATCAACTGTCAGAAGTGAGGAGCTAATATTTAAGCAATGCATCTGCTTGTAATACCTGACTCTCTCACTTCTGCTTGTGCGATCTTGGTAATGTTATCTTTCTGGGCAAAACTTTGCTCATTTATAAAATGGGAATAATAATTATGTCTATTCTATCAGATTGTTATGAAGATTAAATAAGTAAGTCTTGTAAAATATTAAAATAGTGGTTGGCCTGTATCAGCACTCATTCAGTAATGGCAAATAGAATTAGCTTTTAATCTCCTCCAGAAAAATTACTTGCTGGTAATTTGATTGTTAAATATTGTAAATCATACAATTAGGAAGGTCTTTTACTTTATTCACACTTTTGCATTACTAGTCACCTAATCTTATATCAACACCCTAATTTAGCACTGAATAAAATCAGGCCTTCTATTTTTTATTTGCAGCTAAGTTTGAGAAACTGTGCCTGGAGAGGGGATAGAGCAGTTTTCAGTTTCTTCCACATCTCCTATCTCCCCTAAAATAAATATCTTGGGCAACTCACCCAGCCCAATTAAAAAGGAGGATTTCGTGTTACAGATGGCCCTTTATTAATTATGATCTACCATAATTTACTTTTAATAACTCAAGATAATCATAGAAACGTAGATTCACAAAGCTGAACAGGGCTTTATGTTCATCTAGTTCAGAATTCACATTTTACACTTAAGTAAATCTGTCTTCATTTGGACTCCTTACTTAAACCACTTGCTTCCCCTTTACTTTGAGGGAGAGAGTTTGACATGGGCATCCTGCTTCTTAGCCATTGCTTGCCTGCCTGTGCTTCCATTTACTTATCCAGAGAGTGACAGTGTTACAAGCAATTCAGGATGAGGACGTTAATGAGCACACTTTGCCAAATGCATGGTGCTTCACCTAACTCAACTTAGCCATTGTATAATCTTCAAGTCCATAGGCACATTTTAGCAACATAAATCAAGGTGAAACATGTTTGTTTCCAAAAAACAATACTATTCATGTAAATATTAATCTCTCATTGATCTTGAATTCCCTGGAATTTATTAATTTGTGACCTAGCCTGAAAGTTCCCTGAATTTTACATTTCCTTATCAATACCTACATCTATATATAATTGCTGTTTGCTATCTGAATAATTGGGCCTCACACATTACAATGTGGAGGGTTTTCAGTTCAGATTTGGTGTAACATAATGAAGAAAAAAATGACTAGGCATATCATGCATGTAATCCTCAAATAGATGACAAAAATCCAATTCAGTGTAGAGTAACTGCACACACCAGCATTAACAGAAGTCCCTAGTACATACAAGACAGGCCTCTAGCCAGAGGAAATGTAGTGGCCCAGATAGTGAAAATGACAACTTTGGCCTGAGGTAAACAGGCAGCATACTGTTACATTCTAGACACAAGGCAAGCAGCTATCGAGAACTGCAGCGTTTTTCTAAAGTGTATTCATGCAGTTTTAGGATATCATGACTTTTCAGAAGGAGGGTAATGCATTCTGATACCACCATCTTAGAAAAGATAAGAGATTACGGCTTTACGTGCCTAGAAAATAGGAAAGGAAGATGTTATTATTGTCTTAAATATTGAACACAGTGTATTTTCACATTGTCAAAAAATAAAATATGCATATTTTGTGTGCATACAACACACTTTCTAATAGCAACTGAACACATCAGGTATTATTTAAAAACTTCCTCTAATTTGCAATAATAGGCGATAATGGGATTTTCAAGATTAATATGCTAAACCATTGAAATGATGAAGCAGAGCATACATATCCCCTTGTAGTGGTTATTTAGAGATAGAAAACAAATGAATATTACTTTTTTTTACTGTATATATAAAAGGTTTATTTTCTGGCACTGATTCTTCTTGCTAAAATACTGTTTAAATAAATCAATGTGTAGGGATAATGGCTACCATCCAAAGACCACTATATTAACATTTATATTAAGAATACAAATGATACAAGATAATTAGGTAGTTTCATTTTGATATGTGAATGGCCTTGCAATGCTTTGTAAAACACAGACAGACATTACTACTGCGTTTTTATAAATCACAGATGCAGAATAATACATTTTTTTCTAAACTACAGGGCATGTACTCTTTTTATAAGATAATATTTAATTATTTTTCATTGAAAAATAAAAATTGTACATATTTACCATGTACAACATATGGTTTTGAAATATGCATGCATTGTGGAATGCTAAACTGAGATAATTTACATATGCATTACCTTATATACTTATCTTTGTGTGTGTGTGTGGTGAGCTCACTTAAAACCTACTCTCTTAGCAATTTTCAAGAATACAATACATTGCTACTAACTATAGCCATTATGTTGTATATCTATTGAACGTATTCTTCCTGTCTTAACTGAAGGTTTATATTATTTCGCCAGCATCTCTCCAACACCATAATCCCACCCCACCATTCTACTCTCTGCTTCTATGAGGTCGACTTTTTAAAAATCCACATATAAGTGAAATTATATGACATTAGTCATCCTGTGCTTGGCTTCTTTCACTTATTCAAATTTCCTAATGAAATAGCTGCACTATTGTTCTTTGAATTATAGTCTTTGTTGATGTCACTGTGCAATACTACAAAGAATTGTTATGAATAAATGGGTTGTTATGAAATAGTTCAGTGGAACACTGAACTGGGTTCAGTTCAGAGAAAGAGGTTGTTACGAATCTTTCACTGACTCCTTAATTCTCAAGTCTTTATGAGAAGTAGCTCTCAGCTATAGCTGCCAACCATATTAGTATAATCTGGAAAAAAAATTCTTTAAATACCTACAACCCAATCTCACTTAATGTTCATTTCTCAGAATATTAGAAAACAAAAGATACAAAAAATAAGATCTGAGTTAAAACCTCAATATATTACTAATACCAAGGATAAGTCACTTAATATTTTAAGCAAAACATTAATCTGTAAAATGGGTTTCCTAACTTGCCAAATGCTAACTTCTTATAGGGATAGGTTTATGTGAGGATTAAATGAGGTAAGGGATGTGACAGAACTTGAAAAAGCACAAATTGCTATGCAAGTGTAAGGTCTTATTATTGTAATTAAAATTAACGTAAGAAATTGAATGACTACTAAGCCAGTCCTTATGTGCTTCTAAAAAAAATCTGGGCAATTTATCAACATATCTAAAGTAAGTATTAATAAGCAGAGGGTGTATGTAGAATGACTGAAGAAAAGATCAGAATTTAGGGAAACAATGCTATTTGAATGGAGACTGTATATGTGTGGGTGGGGGAGCACTTCTCAGCAGAAAACTGCATTGCCCCATACAGGAAAGTCTTCCAAGCATTACTTAATTCTAGCTTTTTATTGACTGAGCTAATTTTCAACTCTATAAGTGGTAGGTCTCTAGTAGACCTTTGAATTATGTCTTGCATAGTAGAGGTTCAACACACTTCCTTTCCAGTCTGTATTAAGACCAGTTTTGCCACCCTTTACATATTTCTTTCAACATTCCTGATCTATAAATGTGCCTGCTTATACAGTCCTCTTTGAACCAGTTATAACATGTGTCTGGCAACCACATTAAATGAGTAGATATTAAAATGTGTTTATTTTAAATCTGTATGAGAGTTACAATTTTTTCCTTTTCTGAAAATTATATTTTAACAGCACCAAGGAAGAAATGTCAGCGAAAGAGAGGGCAGTCAATTATCATATGAACAAGCAAAACTACAAAGAAAAAGACATGTCCCTGAGAACAAAGGAGAAAAACGATTTGGAGAAATAGCTCAGGGGTGTCTGGTAAATTGAAAGAGGTTAAGAATGTATTGCATTTAGCAACCAAGTAACCATTGGTATCTTTACAAGAGTATTTTATAACATATTGAGGTTAAGTACAATGCAGACTTTAGATGAGCAGGTGAGAAGTGGCAAAGGAAAGCATCAAAGCAAGCCTACCTTTTCTTTAACTTTTCTTTTTCTGAAACTTACTCTTCTGTATCTGTAAAAATAATAAATGCTCACTGTAAAAAAATACAAAAAAGTAAAAAAAGAATGCAAAGCTCTTCTGAAAGTATACTGACTTGAACATCTTTCCATACATTCCTCTAAATGCATATAACTTAAAATAATGGAACCATAATGTATCTACCTACTATTAGGTACGTAACTTAATTTTGTTTCATCACTTAATCTTCCTAGTTAAACTTTTTGTATTTATTTCAATTTTGACAGCTTAGTTATGCGTCCTCCTGGCAAAGAAAGGGAAAGTAAGGAGATAGATAATTTGAATATATGTACATGCTTCTCTTATTCTTATAACACTCACATCTGTATGACAGTTTATAGTTCACATAGTATCTTCCCATGATTTATTTTATTTAATCCTTAAACTCTATGAGATAAGACAAGGAGGCATTTTTGTCCTTAGTTGACAATGAAAAAAAATAAGGATTGATATGGTGAAATATCCTGCTCAAAGTCACAAAACTGTTACTCAAGTCCTTCATTCAACAAAATTATGCCAGAGACCATTAAAATAAAAATGATTAGAAAGTGATATTTGCTGTTCTCTCTGTAATTCAAAATTTATTGAGAGAAAAGCATATAAATAAGCACAAGCAAATCATTCAGAGGTCCTATAGGAGATGCCTAAACAAGGTAAGAGAGAGTAGTCACTTTTTTTGTTGTTGTTGTTTGATAATAGGCTATGCCTTGCAAAGCAAAATAGAATAATTGTATCATTAACTGGAGAGAGAGAGAGAGACAGAGAGAGAGAGAGAGACTCCAGTTTAAAGGAGATCTGGTGAGAAATGGGGTAATGCGCTCCTTAGGGACTTCTTCTTGAGATATGTACTTACATAGAAAGAAATAAACTTGATGTCAAGATTTTACTGAATTTTTGTGAACAAGCAGAGTTTGTGGACATCTTTTCAAGGTAAAAGCCTGTCATGTAGACAAAATGAAGATGAGTTAGAGAGCTTTACCAAAACACTATAAAGTATGCATGTCATGTTCTTCAATTTCAAAGATTCATGCTGTTCATTCTAACTCAGAAAAACAGGCAATTGCTAAAGAAAAATTATTTTAAGCTGAAATTTTCAGCAAGCTCACAGTAATTTCAGGTATCTTCATAATGGTAGAGAGGGCAAGATGCATCAATATGTAAACTGGCTCAAAGACTGGAGAAATTAATATTTAAGCAGGCGACTGAAGTCTACCCTGTTCACTCAAGAAGTGAAGAGGCAATAACAGGTAATAGAACCCAGCAAAAACAAGGTGCCTTGTGGAGGTCATGGAAATGGAAAAGAAAACCAGTGAAATAAAAAATTTCATGAAAAAGGTTCTAGTCTGAACTGAGAGAAGCCAATAGTACACTGTAGAATTGGATTCAGAATTGCTTTCAAAGTTTTATTCTCCTACTTGGATATGAAATTTTTTTTTTCCTTTCAAATAACAATATGGACTTCTAGTTTTCAGTTTAGCATGTAGGAAATTTGAAAGTCTTTGTTCTAACAGTAAGTAAAAAACGGAACAAACCGTAAAAGCAACAACTCTTCTTAGAGTCATCACAGAAATGAGGTCACAGGGCAAACCACTAAACCCCAAAATGGAGAGACAGACAAGTGGATGCAAAAAATTACAACTTACCAGGACAGAAACCCATAATCAAAAACATCCTTAGAAACCAATGACATAGTAGGGAAAACTGAACTGTAATTGATGAGTTGCTGGAGGCTTAGATTGGAAAAGTTGGAGAGTTGAAAACTCTATGGAACCAAGTAATAGGAGGGCCCTGACACTTTTGTGAGCTTTACTTCTTAGAGCTCTCTATCAGGTTTTTACAGTGCAGATGCGAGAAAATTCCCTGGTGTTTCCAGCATGGTAAAAATGTACTCACTTTTAAATACCCCAGAGCATTCTATTCTTCTTAACGAGGCCTGCCCTCAAGAGAAAATATTTCACCAGAGCGTAACCTATTGCGATTTTATCAGAGCCCAGCTGACCTGAGGAAGTACATAAAGCAAATCCAGCCCTCTCTAGCTTTCACATGGGTGAAAGGAAATAGTCAAATTCAGCCTGTTCTAGCCTTTCAAATGAGAGAAGGGAAATACACAACTCTAGCCACCCCCTCCGCCTCAGCCATCTGGTCCTACTTTTGAGTGGGAGGAGGACTGAGAAGCACTGATGAATTTTATGGTTCAGGGGCATAGGCTCACTAAAAAGACTGCAAGTTAATTATAGGACTACAAAACAGCCCCTTCTCTCCACTTCACCACCACATCCCTAAAGACTTATTTACTGCAGTTCCCTGTGCCCTCCTTCATGTCAGGATATCCAGAAAAAAATTGCAAGGCAATTTAAACACAGTTTAAAGAAAGAGCAAGATTCAGAACCAGTCTCAAAAATGGCAGGGATGTCGGAATTATCAGACCATCAATTTAAAAATACTAAGATTAATAAGGGCTCTAATGTACAAAGTAGACAACGTGATAACAGATAAATAGTGCAGAAAGAGAAATGAAAACTCTAAGAAAGAATTTTAAAAAACGGCTAGAGATAAAAAACACAGAAACAAAGAAAGCCTTTGATGGGCATTAGTACACTGAACATGAGTGAGGAAGGAATCTCTGAACTTGAAGATGTCAGTAGGAACTTCCAAAATTGAAAAGCAAAGAAGAAAAAAAGAACAAAGTATCTAAGAACCATAGACAACTTTAAAAGGTGTAACATAGTCAGACTTTCAGTAACAACATGGTTGAACTCAATAGCATGATAAACCAACTCGATAAAATTGATATCTGTAGACTACTTTATCTAACACAGTAGAATACATATTATTCTCAAGGTCACATTAAATAATCATCAAAATAGACCATATTCTGGACCATGGAAACAGCTTCACAGAATTAAAATAATATAAATTATTCAATGCCTACTCTGAAATCACAATGGAATTAAACTAGAAATCAATAAAAATGATAGTTGGAAAATTCCAAAATACTTAGAGATTAAGCAACACACTTCTAAATAACACATGAGTCAAAGAAGAAATCTCAGGACAAATTAATACATATTTTGAATTAAATCAAAATGAAAACACAACTAAATTCATGGGAAATAACAAAAGCATACTTAGAGGGAATTTGTAGATTTATAAAAGAAGAATTTATAAAAGAAGAATGATCTTAAATTAACAGTCTAAGGTTACACCGTAGAAAACTGGAAAGAAAAAGAACAAATTAGATCTAAAGTATGCAGAATGAAAGACATAATAAACTGTAGATCAGAAATCAATAAAAATGAAAATTAAAAAATCAATAGAGAAAATCAATGACACTAAAGTCTGATTCATTAAGATCAATAAAATTAATAAATCTCTAGCCAGGCTAACTAAGATAAAAAGAGAAGGGAGCAATTACCAATATCATAAATGAAAGAGGGTATATTACTGAAGATCTCATGGATATTAAAAAGATAATAAAAGAATATTTGAAATAGCTGTACTGTGTCAACACATTCGTTAACCTAGATGACATCTACCTATTCCCTGAAAGACACAATCTACCAAAAGTGACACAAAAAGAAGTAGACACTCTGGATAGCCTATATCTACTAATGAAATAGAATCAATAATAAATGCCCTTCAAAACAGAAATCACCAGGCTCATACGGATTCACAGGTGCATTCCAGGAAACATTTAGGGAAGAAATTTTACTAATTCTCTGCAATCTTGTTCAGAAGATAAAAGCAGAGAGAGCACTTCTTAACCCATTCTATAAGAAGAGGATCACCGTAATACCAAAATCAGATGAAGACATTCTTAAAAAAAGGAAATTAGAGACTAATATCTCCCGTACATAGATGCAAAATTGTCAACAACATTTTAGTAAATCAAATCTAATAATGTATACATAATTGAAAACCATGACCAAATGGAATTTTTCTCAGGTATGCGAGGAAATTTCAACATTTGAAAACGAATTCATTTAATTCATCACATCAACAGGCCAAAGAAAAAAAATCATATGATCATATTAATAGACACAGAAAAACCATTTCACAAAATCCACACTATTCATGATAAAAACATTGCAAACTATCAATCCTATGCAGAGAAGAAAAATAAAGAAAAAGGAAAATAAATAAAAAGCATACAAATTGGACAAGGAAATGTAAAATTATATCTGTGTGCAGATGATATAATTTAGTATGTAGAAAAACCTAAAAAAAATCCACGAAAAACTGTTACAACAAACAATTTCAGCAATGTTTCAGGATACAAAATTAACAGACGAAATATTAAGTGTTTCTGTACACTAACAAAGACCAATCAGCAAAAGAAATTAAGAAAATACCAATTTTAGAAATAAATTGTCAGTATAAAAATTACAGAAAATTACAAGTGTTAAAACGTGGAGAAATTGAAACACTTGCACACTGTTGGTGGGAATTTAAATTAATTCAAGTACTATGAAAAGAATATGAAGTTTCCTCAAAAAATTAGAAAATGGAATTAGCATGTGATATGGAAATCCCACTTCTAGTCATATATCCAAAAGAATTTAAAGTAGGATCTCACAGAAATATTTGCACACTCATGTTCATCTCAGCATTATTCACAATGGCCAAGAGGTAGAAGCAACCCAAATGTTCACTGACAGATGAATAGATGAAGAAACATGATATATACACACAAAGTTATGTTATTCAGCCCTAAAAAAGAAAAAAATTCTGTCACATACTACCATATGGATGAACCTCCAGAACGTTATGCTAAGTGAAATAAGCCAGTCACAAAAAGTCAAGTACTGAATGATTCCATTCATATGAAGTATTGAAAGAAATAAAGATCACAGAGGCAGAAAGTGGAAAGGTTTTTGTCATGAGTGGGAACTGGGTGATGGAGGGTGTAAGAGGAATTAGTATTTAGTGGGTATAGAGTTTCAGTTTTGTAAGATGAAAAAGTTGTAGCAATTTGCTATGCAACCATGTAATAATAAACACTATTGAACTATATACTAAAAATATTAACAAAATACATTTAATAATGTAATGTTATGTGTTTTATTACCACAATAAAAATTAGTCAACTGCTTTCCTATATAACAATAATAAACAAATGGGATTTGAAATTAAAAACACATTACCATTGAAAATACCTGCTCTCTCAAAATGAAGTACTTAATATAAATCTAAAAATGTGTGCAAAGTCTATGTGAGAAAATTTACAGAACTCTGATTTTAAAAACTAAAGAAAAATTAAATGGAGAGGCATTTCATGTTAGTGGATAGAAAAACTCAATGTTTTCAGTATGTCACTTTTTTCTAATTTGAATTTTAGATTCAAAACAATCCAAATAAAAATTCCAGCAAGTTATTTTGTGGATATCAATAAGCTGATTCTAAAGTTAACATACAAGTAAAAGTACCAGAACAGAAATGCAATATTGAAGGAGAACAAATTTGAAGGACTGACATTATTTTACTTAAAGGCTTATTAGAAACCTACAGTAATTAGGCCAGGCATGGTGGCTCACGCCTGTAA
Organism: Homo sapiens; assembly: GCF_000001405.40. Taxonomy (NCBI): domain Eukaryota; kingdom Metazoa; phylum Chordata; class Mammalia; order Primates; family Hominidae; genus Homo; species Homo sapiens. Next base: position 104,863,038 of record NC_000011.10, read on the forward strand.
TCCCAGCACTTTGGGAGGCTGAGGCGGGCGGATCATGAGGTCAGAAGATCGAGACCATCCTGGCTAACACGGTGAAACACCATCTCTACTAAAAATACAAAAAAAAAAAAAAAAATAGCCGGGCATGGTGGTGGGGGCCTGTAGTCCCAGCTACTCAGGAGGCTGAGGCAGGAGTGGTGTGAACCCACGAGGCAGAGCTTGCAGTGAGCCGAAATCACACCACTGCACTCCAGCCTGGGGTGACACAGCGAGACTCCATCTCAAAAAATAAAAGAAACCTACAGTAATTAAACAGTGTAACATTGGCAAAATAATTGACAGAAAGATCAGTGGAAAATATTAGAGAGTTTAGAAATAGATCTGCACAAATATAATCAACTTATTTTTGACAAGGATCAAAGGCAATGTAATGGAGAGAAGATGGGCCTTTCAACAAATGGTGCTGAAACAACTGGATATGCACATGCAGAAAAAGAAATAAATCTAGATACAGACCTTACACACTTCACAAAAAAATTAACTCAAAAGGGATCTCATACCTAAATATAAAACGTAAATGTAAAGCTCCTAGGAGATAACATGGAGAAAATTTAAATGATGAATATGCTGATAACTTTTTAGATACAACACTAAAGGTAGGATACATGAAAGAAATAATTGAAAAATTGAACTTTATTAAAATTAAAACTTCTAGTCTTTGAAACACACTGTCAGCAGAATGAGAAGGAAAGCAATAGACTGAGAGAAAATGATTGCAAGAAACATGACTGGCGAAGGGCTGCTATCCAAAGTATACAAAGAATTCTTGCATCTCATCAATGTAAAAACAAACTGATTAAAAAATGGGCTGAAGACATAAAAAAACACTTCACCAAAAAGACACACAGATGAAAAATAAACATGTGAAAAGATGCTTCTGTGTTTTCAACATCATATATCATTAGGAGATTATAAATTAAAACAATGAGATACCACTACATACCTATAATAATTGTCTAAATTCAAAACACAAACAGTGTCAGATGCTGGCAAGGATGTGGAGAAATAGCAAGCTTCATTCACTGATGGTGGGAATGCAAAATTGTGTGGCTACTTTGGAAGACAAAACACTTTCTTACAGAACTAAATATATTTCTACCATACAGTACAGCAAATGTGCTCCTTTGCATTTACCCAAAAGAGTAGAAAACTTATATCCATGCAAAAACATGCAAACTGATGTTGACAGATGTTTGGCAACATAATTGCCAAAACCTGGAAGCAACCAAAATGTGCTTAATCAAGGGAATGGATAACATGCCTTAGTACATTCCAACAATAGACTATTATTCAGTGGTTAACAGAAAGGAGTTACCAACCATGGAAACTCCCATGAAATAGTCAAACTCATGTCGTGGGGGTTTGTTGTACAGACTACTTCTTTACCCAGGTATTAGGCCCAGTACTTCATTAGTTATCTTTCCTGAGTCTCTCCCTCCTCCCACTCTCCACACTACAATAGAACCCAGTGTCTGTTCCCCTCTATGTATCCATGTGTTCTCATTATTTAATTCCTACTTATAAGTGAGAACATGTTGTATTTGGTTTTCCGTTCTTGCATTAGTTTGCTAAGGATAATGGCAACCAGCTCCATCCATGTACCTGCAAAGGACATGATCTCATTCTTTGTTATGGCTGCATAGTATTTCATAGTGTATGTATACCATGTTTTCTTTATCCAGCGTACCATTGATGGGCATTTAAGTTGATTCCATGTGTTTGCTATTGTGAATAGTGCTGCAACGAACATTTTCTGCATATGGCTAGCCAGTTTTCCCAGCACCATTTATGGAATAGGGAGTCTTTTCCCCATTGGTTGTTTTTGTCAGCTTTGTCAAAGATTACATGGTCATAGGTATATCATCTTATATATCAGCTCTCTATTCTGTTCCATTTATCCATGTCCCTGTTTTAGTACAAGTACCATGCTGCTTTGGTTATGGTAGTCTTGTAATATAGTTTGAAGTCAAGTAACATGATGCCTCCAGTTTTGTTGTTTTTGCTTAGTATAGTCATGGCTATTCAGGCTCTTTTTTGGTTCCAAACTATTTTAAAATAGTTTTTATTTTTCTAGTTTTGTGAAGAATGTTGTTGGTAGTTTGAAAGGAGCAGCACTGGATCTATAGAATGCTTTGGGCAGTATGGGCATTTTCATGATATTGATTCTTCTTATCCATGTGCATGGAGTGTTTTTCCATTTGTTTGTGTCTTCTCTCATTTCTTTGAGCAGTGTTCTGTAATTCTCATTGTAGATATCTTTCACCTCCCTGGTTAGCTGTATGCCTCCGTATTTTATTCTTTCTGTGGCAATTGTGAATAGGACTGCCTTCTTGATTTTTTCTTGGCTTGGCTGTTGTTAGTGTATAAGAATGCTAGTGATTTTTGTACATTGATTTTGTATCCTGAAACTGTTGATTGTTTATCAGCTGAAAAAATTTTGGGCGGAGACTATGAAGTTTTCTAGATAGAGAGTCATGTGGTCTTCAAACAAGGATACTTTGACTTCCTCTGTTCTTATTTGGATACCCTTTATTTCTTTCTCTTGCCTGATTGCTTTGGCTAGGACTTCCAAGAGGGCATCCTTGTCTTGTGTTGGTTTTCAAGAGGAATGCTTCCAGCTTTTTCCCTTTCAGTATGATGTTGGCTGTGGTTTTGTCATAGATGACTCTTATTACTTTGTATTACGTCCCTTTAATACTTAGTTTTTGAGAATTTTTAACATGAAGGGATGTTGAATTGTATTGAAAGTCTCTTCTGCATTTATTGAGATAATCATGTGGTTTTTGTCTTTAGTTCTGTTTATGTGATAAATCACATTTATTGATTGACGTATATTGAACCAATCTTTCATCCCATGGATAAAGCCCACTTGATTGTGGTGGATAAGCTTTTTGATATACTGCTGGATTCGGTTTGCCAGTATTATTTTGAGGATTTTTGCATTGATGTTCATCAAGGAAATTGGCCTGAAGTTTTCTTTTTTGTGTGTGTCTTGGCCAAGTTTTGGTATCAGTATTATGCTGGCCTCATAAAATGAGTTAGAGAGGAAAGCTTCCTCCTCAGTTTTTTGGAATAGTTTCAGCAGGAATGGTACCAGCTCTTCTTTGTATGTCTGATAGAATTCATCTCTGAATTTTTCTGGTTCTGTGCTTTTTTTGGATGCTAAGCTTTTTATTACTAATTGAGTTTTGGAGTTTGTTATTGGTCTGTTCAGGAATTCAATTTTTTCCTGGCTCAGTCTTGGAAGAGTAAAATATACTGTTTCATAAGCATGTTATTGATCAGCATTTAATAATCAATATTTATATTCTGGGAGGAGATAAATTACCTCTCTCATTTTTTTTTCTGCAGCACATAGAAGAATACCTCAGACATATAAGGTTTTCCATTTCATTTTAATACATAAATCAGTATAATACTCATTACACTAATCTCACATGTATACTTATATGTGTATTTTAGATAATTCTGTACAGATTAATGAAAAGAAAACATTTATTTATTCATCCACTTGTGACTAAGGTATCCATCTGTTCAACAAATGTTTATTGAAACTATATTGTTCCAGACATTATAATAGTAATGAATGCAGGAATGGACATTGTCTTCCTTGTGTTTTTAGTATAACCACAGATATACCATTAAGCAACTATTAAAACAGAGAGTGATAAATGCTATAATAGGGAAAAAACAGGTGCTGATACCCAAAAGCCCTATAGGTTAATTTGGAGTTTCAGAGAAGGTTTTTACCAGGAAATAATAAGTTGACATTAAGAACAAAATGATAGTAAGAAGTTACCCAAACTAAAAGGTAGCAGAGAAGCACATCAAATGGCCATCCCACATAGAGATATGTTGAATGCACACGAAAAAGAAAGAACAATGAAGAGATGAAGGGGATTGAGTGTGACGAGATCAGAGAGAAAGAGGTGGCTAGACACTGGGCAAGTCATGGCTTGACTATGACAGACTCTATAATCAAATCTGGAAGTAAATATTTTACCCTAAGGAAAGTGGACAAAGATTAGAGTATAAAAGCAGAAAAACATATAGAGACAGGGTGTCCAGTAAGAATATATGAGAATATTCTTGAGTTAAATAATATTAGCTTTAATGGAAATGTTGGCAATGAAAATGGAAAATAGGAAAATGTATAAATAAGTAGAAATAAATTGAACATTCGTGAACAATTAATGGATCAAAGAAGAAACCAAAAAAAAAAAAAAAAAAACTAAGCCCAAGTTAGCAGAAGGAAGCAAATAAGATAGATTACAGTAGAAATAAGTTAAATAGAGATTAGAATAATAACAGAAAAGATGAACCAAACTAAGAGCTAGTTTGTTGAAAACATGAGTAAAATTTTAAAACATTTAGTTAGACTAAGAAAAAATAGAGAAGACACAAATAAATAAAATGAGAAATGGATAATAAACCTGGCCAGGAGAGAAAGATATTAGTCCTGAAAGTAGGAACAGGAAGCAGTTAAATCCCAGATGAAGCAGCACAGCTGAGTGACTTTCCCTGCTTGCCTCTTTTCCCTGCCTGAGAAGGAAGCTGAGAGTTTTTTTTCTTTTCTTTTTTCTTTTCTTTTCTTTTCTTTTCTTTTCTTTTCTTTTCTTTTCTTTTCTTTTCTTTTCTTTTCTTTTCTCTTCTTTTTTCCCTGCCCTGGGACCTGATAGCTTCACTGATGAATTCTACCAGATATTTAATAAAGAATTAATATCAATCTTTTTTCAAAGTCTTCCAAAAATAAAAAGAAAGGAAAGAAGACTTTCAAACTCATTTCACAAGGCTAGTATTACCCTGATACTAAAGCCAGACAGATAAATAATTTAAAAACACTTACAGGCCAATATCTGTCATGAACATAGATACAAAAATTTTAACAGAATACCAGCAAACTGAATTCAACAAACTATTAAAAGGCTGATATACTGTCATCAAGTGGGATTGATTCCTGAAATTCATGGATGGTTCAATATACACAAATTAATAAATGTAATACACCACATTAATAGAATGAAGGATGAAAATCATGTGATCATCTCAATATATGCAGAGAAAGTATTTGATAAAAAGCAACATCCTTTCATGTAAAAAATTATCAACACATTATGTACAGGAGAAATGTACCTCAACACAACAAGCCCACAGCTAATATCATACTCAATGTTGAATGTTGAAAGCTTTTTTTCTAAGATCAAAAAACAAGACAAGAATTTCCCCACTTGCAACTTCAATTCAACATTGTTCTGGAAGTCCTAGTTAGAGGAATTAGGTAAGACAAGGAAATAAAAGGCATCCAAAATGGAAACGATAGAGTAAATTTTTTCTGTTTGCAGATAACATGATTTTATACTAAGAAAATCCTAAAGACTTCACCAAAACACTGTTAGAACTAATAAATGAATTCAGTGAAGTCACAGGATACAAATCAACATATAAAAATCGATTGCATTCCTATGTACTAAAAACAAACTATCCAAAAAATAAATTAAGAAAAAAATTCATTGAAAATACCACTCAAAAAGAATAAAATACATAGCAATAAATTTAATAAAATGAATGACATATCTGTATATTGAAAATTCTGATATTGATGAAGATTTAGGAAGACAAAAATAAATGCAAAGATATCCTCTGTTCATAGATCAGAGGAATCAATATTGTTAAAGTGTTCATACTACCCAGAAATGTAATCTCTATCAAAATTTCAAGGGCATTTTTCACTGAAATAAAAAAAAAAACCAAATCCTAAAAGTCACATGGAACCACAAAAAACTAAATAGCCAAAGTCGTAAGAATGGCAAGAAAAACAAAGCTGGAGATATCAAACTGCTTGATTTTTAAATATACTACAAAGCTAAAGTAATTGAAGCAGTATGGTGCTGCCATACATATGGGGATATACACTAATGGAATAAAACAGAAAGCCTAGAAATAAATCCACACATTTATGGTTAATTCATTTTTGGCAAAGGTACCAAGAACACACAGTGAGGAAAGGATAGTCTCTTCAATAAATCCTGCTGGAAAAACTGTATATTCACATACAAAAATAATGAAATTGGATCTTTATCACACACTATTTAAAAAATCATTGCAAAATGGATTGAAGGCCCAAAACTGTAACAATACTAGAAGAAACCTTAGGGAAAAAGCTTCAGGATATTGATCTGGGAAATGTTTTTTTGGATATGACCTCAACGTACAGGCAGCAAAAGTGAAAATGGACAAATGGGATTATATCAAACCAAAAATCTTCTATACAATAAAGGAAACAACAGAGTGAAAACACAACCAATGGAACTGCAGAAAATATTTGCAAACCATGCGTTTGATGAGGGTTTACTATACAAAATGTATAAGTAACTTAAAAATTTCAATAGCAAGAAAGCAAATACACTGATTAAAAAATGGGCAAAGGAGCAGAATAGACATTTTTCAAAAGAAGACATACAAATGGACAACTGGTGTATGAAAAAATGCTCGGCCTTACTAATTAGGGAAATGCAAATTAAAACCACAATGAGATATTACTTTGCAACTGTTAGAATGGCTAAGATATATACATGTGTGTAAATGTGTATGTATGTATACAGAAACCTGGGTCAATGTACACTGAGTGTCAAAAGTGCCTTTTTTTGGCCAGTTAAATGACCCTTTGTATATAGGCTGTGTGTGTGTGTGTGTGTGTGTGTGTGTATATATGTGTGCATATATATGTGTGTGTGTATATATATATAACACAACAGAATACCATGCTTTACATGCTTAATCTTAAACACAAAGAAGTCTTAAACACAAGGAAATCTTGTCATTTGTGACAGCATGGATGTACCTGGAGAACATTTTTGTTAGGTGAAGTAAGCCAGGCTCAAAAAGCAAATACTGCATGATCTCACTCATATGTGGAACTAAAAAAAGTCAAACTTACAGAAGCAGAGTAGAATGGTGGTCTTCATGGTCTGGGGTGTGGGAAAATAAAGTGATGTTGGTCAAAGGGTACAAAGTGTCAGTTATGCAGAGTGAGTAAATCCTGGAGACCTAATCTATAACTTGATGAATATAGTTAATACACTATTATATGTTTAAAATTTGCTAAAGGAGTGGATCTTAAATGTTCTCCAGATCCCCACACACACTCAATGGTAAGGATCTTAGATAATGGATATATTAATCAATTTGGTTCTGGTAATCATTTCATAATGTACACTTGTATCAAACCATTCTATTATACACATTAAATAGATACAGTTTTTTGTCAATTATACCCAATAAAGCTAGAAAAAAAAAAAGAAGATGAAAATCATGGAGTTTTGAGAGATATAGGATTTACAGGTTGACTTGATGTGGATATACAAAATAAGAGAGAAGTCAAGGGGAGCTCCCTGTTTCTGGCTTTGACAATGAGCTGGATGCTAGTACCCTTCACTACAAGGAGAAATCAATATGTATTACAAATTAGCTACACAGGAACGGGTTGACATCACATTTGAACCTGTTGTTTGTGTAATACATCCACTGGTGACATTGAATGAAGGGTTGGGTTTATGGTTATAGAGCTCAGGAAATACAGATTTTGGAGTCTTAGCCTTATACAAGAACACTGAATCCTTAGAAATAAATAAGATATTCCAGATAAAGCGTGTAAAGCATCGCAAGTGAGGCTAGAAATGAGGAATTGAGAATGCCAAATGTAAAGTGAGTTGCAGGAGAAGAGCCTGCTTTTGAAGAATCTGTGAATAAAGTGCCTCAGAATACAGAGACTATAGGAGGGAAACGTCTGCAGTGATATTTGCTTGAAACAAGTTAACTTTTACTTTGGCTTATGAATAATTGGTGTCCCTGTCAAGAGCATTTCCCATGAATTAATTATGAGAGAAGTCACACAACAGTAGTTCCAGAAATATGTGAGAATTAGAAAATGAAGGCTGTAAAATGCAACAAGCTATTGAATGGACAGGAATCTTAGAATTTTAAAGTCAAAGAAATGCTGACCACAGTTAAGAGATATCAGAAGAGAAGAATCTGTGGTTATGCAAAATAGTTATACAACAGTTATACAAAGGCCAGCTGGCTCTTATTAAATAGAAAATGAGGGAAAAGTGGAGGAATGGCATGCAATATTCAAAAACTCCTGTTGCTTTCTACAATTATCATTGAAAGTCACATAGTACATCCTTACTAATGTTTAGTGTCTTGTCCTTATGTGATATTTGTAAGAGCATGGCTCCTTTTTCTGTATTATTGACCAGCCTTCACATTTTATTTGGGAGTATAATTTAATTTTATAAGACATGTGGAAAATAAAACTTTTACCAAATAGTCTTTTAAGAATCTAAATGGATACAGTTAACTGTTTCCAACGTGAAACCTCACTGATTAAACAAACATGTATTGAGTGACTGCTAAATGCCAGGTACTGAACACATAGAAGAAAATAAAGCATTTTTTAAAAACTAAACAAACAAATAAAAAACTGCCCCATGGTGTTAACATACAACCTTCACTTATAAAATTTTATGTTTACCTTAAATTTCATGTAGTTTCATAAACAAATCCATTAAATTTCATGTTATGTGATGAGACCTGTCATTTCTTATTCTTTTCCCTAACCCTCAATATCTCATACAGTTCTCTGAGTAAATGGAATTAATATTAAAATGACCTACTTAATTATTACCACATTTACTAAAATATTGGGAATTAAATAATTAAAGATATTTACTAATATGAGAATTGGATTGGTTTCAAATATGAAGTAGCCATATCATCTGACTATATTTTATGTAAGTTGAGCTGGCCCAATTTGTGATAATAAGGACAAAATCTCAGAGATCCTCTAAGGGAGAACGCAGTAATCTTTATTAATTCCCCATCTTTGATTCAACCATTTTGACTTATTTTTCCTATTTTTAGAAATTTTAAGGAAAGCACTTTACCATAAGTTGACCCTGATTAGTACCACTTTTCCTTATGTGATTCTCCATGAAGTTACAGAAAGGACAATAATAATTATTACCATTTACTTTCACTGTTATTTTACAATGAAACACAATCTGTGAAAATAAAAATGAAAGTCCTATCTAAAGTAAATATCTTCTCCCTGCTACAATATAGATTGTGGTTTAATTTTCAAACATATATTTTAAATTCATATTTGAAGTGAAAACTGTTTTTTGTTTGTTTGTTTGTTTGGGGGATGCAAAATTTAGTAGCACAAATAACCTTTACATGTTTCCAATGAACTAGCATAGATGAGTCACTGAGGTAAAAGCTGTCACTATTGAGTTTGTACCAACTCTACTGTAAACATAGAAAGGTTATAATGTGGTAATATATTGTGGCTAAAAGACAAAGTTTAGCAATATTATGTATTTGAAAGTTTAATTTTAGTTTAGTATATTTTTCATTTCATAAATTTGAAGTAAAAGTAGAAAGGAATAATGATAAAATGATGAGGTTCTCAACACTTCAGGCAATTTGGAAATTCTCTAATTAGCAATAATTGCAGAATCAGCGCTTACTACACACTTGAAATAAATGCCTCTTTAAACAAACTACAATTTAAATATTTCTCATACAAATATAGAAAACAACGTTGTCTTAAAAGGAAATAAAATAAAAACGTACTGATAAGCTGCTGAGTTAATTGCTGTGTTCAAATTATCCTATCTATTTTTACCTTTAAAAATGTATGCCCTACTCTTTTATTACCATCTGCAGAGATGAAAAACTATAATTTTTGCACTTGAATTAAAGCCATGCTCACCTACTTTAAAAATAATAACTGATACTTCATGTCTCATGATATCAAGGAAAAAGTAGAATAAATCCATATTAAATTAATAATAACATAATTAATGTATTTATGCTACCATACCATATTAAGTGTTTTGAGAAAAGGGACAAAATACTTCTAGTTTATTGTTTTGATTGTTGGAAGGATCCAGAAGCAAATAATTTCTAAATAGTAGTTTTTTCTTATTTCTTAATTTGTAGTATTTACTTTTTTTCATTGTGGTTTTGATTTTAAGTTTATTAGAAATAGAAATTATAATGTTGTGTTTCAGGGTGTATGTAAGGTATTAATTTTAGCTTGTTAACCAATGAGTGCACTTTTCTTTTTCCTGCAACAACTTGCTCTCTCAGCTGGACTTCTTTCTATCTAACCAGATACTTTCAAGATCTGGGAGCTTCAGGTTCCTTGCTCCCTTGGCTTTGCCGTTGATAACTTCCTGTCCAATCCTACCAAAGTCTGGAACTGGAACATCCAAGGGTTGCCCTTAGACGCCTTCTCTACTGAGAATGGCATCATCATCAAGCGAGGCCATAGGTAAGGGTGCAGCTGGGAGCGGGTGTGGCCTGGGAGCAGGGGCTGTCCTCTGACCTGTGCTCGCCCTTTAGGTGGGCACGGGTAATACAAACAAAAAGAGCTGGAGAATGGTCCAGGTCCAAACATAGCTACTTTCAAACCGTTGATAACTGGGATGAAAAACAAGAATTTCGTGATGGTATTGTTTAAAAAAGAATGAAAGACTAACTTGCTTTTCTTAGTATTTACTAAATCAGAAACCTTGCTGTACACACACACACACACACACACACACACTTACTTTCTTAAACATAAGGAAGCTGCTTGTATTGGTTTTTTGCTTCTTTATGTTTTCCTTTAATATAAAATTGGATAAAATGTTTGAATGCCGTTATTTTACTTTTCTTAACTCTGTGTGTAGAGTGTTATGCAATTTTTTTCCTCTTCATATAATTTACAATCCTTTAGATTTTAAAAGTTACGTTTTTCTCATTTTCTTTCTTTGTAAATGGTAGTGGGTAGCAATTTGTGGATTTAGGTGAAGTGACATAGACTTTCCTATGTCACTTCTTTCACAGGAAGAAGTGTTTAAACTATAAACTGAGGAGGAGAAAATATCTAGGAAAAGAGAAGAAAGTTGGCAAAACCATGGTCTCCTTCTTCCTGAATTTGTAACTTGGCCTACAAAGAAAGCATCAGTCCTACTACACAGGAAGAGTCAACACTCGGAGGAGGCCTTCTGCACTTTGTCCTCTCCTTCTTTTCACTCCTCATAATGGGAAAGAAAGTAAGTTATCTAATCTGTGAAATAAGAATATGTTGCATATAACCAGTTTGGCCTCTTCTTCGTCTTTTTGGAGGGGCATATGCTTAGAAAACACAGTTTTCCCCTCTTACCTTTCTTGGGAGACATGTTCCACGATTGTCAGTGCATGCCTGAAATGTATGATAGGACTGAACACTAAATTTACGGTGCTCGTTCCTGTACATATACTATGATAAAGTTTAATTTATTAGGTATAGTAAGAGATTGATAATAATATCTAATAGTAAAATAAAAAATATAAGAAGATACTGTAAAAATGTTACGTAGATATAGTCTTTCTCTCCCTCTCAAAATCCTGTAATACTCAGACCATAATTGACTGCAGGTAAATGAAACCACAGAAGACAAAACACGGATAAGGTGGGACTATCGTATTCATGCTCTTCTCTGCTATGAAATAATTTTACCACATTAGGGTCTGTGAATGCAGCCAGGGGAAGGGTGCTATTATGGGAGAGTGCCTCACTTTCAGGCAAAAGATATTCACAATAATCTTAGGACACCAACTTAATGGTAAAGGAGTTTTGCTTATTTCTAACTATCTGAATAGGGTGTGGACTTCTTAGTTTGTTCACAATTAAATAGAAGGGAGAGAAACATGATTATTTGGAAGTTCTGATTAATGTTTAACACTCTTGAAAATATAATGGAGTAAATGCATCTAATCATGGTCATTTACTCTTTTGCCATGACAATAAAACACTTTGAACTTGAATCCTAAAAGATATTTAAATTCTTATCTATAAATGATGTGATTTCTTTCCCATCTAGCCTAATCTCTGGTATATTTAACATGATGAATCCATATACATTTTGGGAACATATGCTTTATTTGAGAATTTATTCCATTCCCTAAGTATTTCTGAGCACAAATTCTATTTTATATAATTTGGTAGGTTCTGTGCAGATGAGAATAAAAGGGGGATCGTTTACCCTAATAAATGCTTATAGTTTTAGGAAAGGATAGACATTAAACAAAAAAATTGGTAAATATATAATTACAATTTGTGACAAGTACATTGAAGGATTTTTTAAAATCTCATTTTTATGCCAGTAAATAACAGGATATCCAGTTTAGACTGAGGATCAGAGAAGTCCTCTCTGAGGAAGTGCCTCTTAAGATGATGGCTGAAGAAGGCATATGAGTTAGCCCAATGGACAATGAAAGGAAAATTACTGTATTACAAGCAGAAAAAAACAACATGTGAATGCCTGGAGGCCCTGAGGCCCTTAGGTGAGAAACTGCTTGTCTGCATGTGGTTCAGAGAAAACAAATTATATAAAACGAAGTTAGCAGCGTCGGAAAGGTTTGTTAAGGATTTTTTGTTTTAAGATTTTGTAAGACCACTCAGGCTATTGTTTCGAGAATGAATCAGAGGCAGGAGTAGGGTTGGCGAGGATGCAAAAGAGATGGGGATATCTAATATTACTTTAGCAGACTCTCTCCTTTCTGTCACTTGTTATCCTGTGAAGATATCACTTGCTGCCCAATGAATAAAAATTAGGAAAATTGGTCTCCTGTTTTCTCATGCTCAGGGAACATCTTCTTTTCTGTACTTTTCTTCAGACAGGGAAGATCAGTGAAGTAATAAGAAATACACATATTGGTCTCTAACCCCAGTCCCTAGCACAGAACTCCTAAAACTATTGCAATTTTCTGAGCAATAGAGGTGCTAAAAGAATCTTTTGTTCTAATGTTTAGTCTCTGCCCTGATTCCTGAGACAAAGCTCCTAGTAACATTGTAGATAAAGGTGGTAGGTTAATTGTTTGTTCTAATATTTGGTCTTTGATGTAGGGTCTTGGCACAGAGGTCCTAAATCCTTTTGAATTTCCTGGGTAATAGAAGTATCTTTGGTTGTAATGAGGTGACTTGGTGGGTTTTAGGATGGGGCTGGTCACCAGAAAGACTAAACCGTGGTTATATGCTTGGAGCTCTCATCCCCACCCCCCATTCCTCAAAGAGAAGAGAAGGGCTGCAAATGGAGTTTATAATCAGTCATGGCTACATGATGAAGCCTCCCTAAAAATCTTTGAACTATGGGGTTCAGGAGCTTCTGAGTTGGTGAACACATCTGAGTGCTGGGAGGATGGTGCACCTCAACTCCATAGGGACAGAAGCTATCCTTCCAGACCTCACCCTATGTACCTCTTCCTCTGGCTGTTCATCTGTATCCTTGGTTATATCCATGATTAATAAGCCAGTAATTCTAAGTAAACTGTTTCTCTGACTTCTGTGAGCCACTAATGCAAAACATGATTTATAGCTGGTTAAGAGGAAGTATTGTTGATAACCTACTACTTGCAATTGGCCTTTGAAGTGGGGGAAATTTTTATGGTAATAAGCCTTTAACTTGTGGGATCTGACACCATATTAGTCCATTCTCATGTTGCTAATAAAGACATACCCAAGACTGGGTAATTTATAAAGGAAAGAGGTTTAATTGACTCACAGTTTAGCATCTCTGGGGAGACCTCAGACAACTTACAATCCTGGCAGACAGGGAAGCAAACATGTGTTTTTTCACATGGCAGCAGGAGAGAGAATGAGAACCAAGTGAAGGGAGAAGCCCCTTATAAACCATCAGATCTCATGAGAACTTACTATCACAAGAATAGCATGGGTAAAATAGCCCCCATGATTCAATTACCTCCCATCAGGTTTCTCGCAGGACATATGGAAATTATGGGAACTACAATTCAAGATGAGATTTGCATGGGAACACAGCCAAACCATATCAGACACTATCCAGATCCCATTATCTATCTAGATAGTGTCAGAATTAAATTGAATTATAGGAAACCCAGCTAGTGTCTGCCGGAGAATTATTTGGTGTGTGGGGCAAGACTCCCATACATCTAGTGTCAGAAATGTGGAGGTGAGTGATTGGTTGAGTGCATGAGACTAGAAATAAACAATATGATTTTTTCTTAAATCTCAGAAGGCCAACACTTTGCTTTTCTAGTTCTGAAATAATCAGAAAATAGGAGTGTCATTTTGCTGAGAATTGCCGTTTCAGACCAAAAATACACTGAACTTCAGAAAAAGATTAAGCAGTTCTGAGAATCAAGGGCTATGAAAGTAAAACGAAAATAAGACAGAGAGGAAGGAAAAAAGTGTGACTTCCTATTCTCATGCCTCAGTGTGTGTGTGTGGGGGGGGTGGGGTGGGAGTGTATGTGCGTGCTCATATATGCACTAGTTTAAGAATCTAGTATGTTTCAATTAATTTTAATTTTCAGTTTGTCTTCAAAATCCATGTCTTCTTCCAGAGGTCCACTTTCAATAACAAAAACACTTCTACTTGCCTTTCTTTAGAAACTTAAACTATCATAAAAGTCATTTCTCTTTTCCTTCTTGAATTATTCAAAGTCTGGTGCCTTAGACTTTCTTCTTCTGCCCAGACTATGCTCACACTGATGAAACCTGGGGAATCTATTCCTTTGGGTTGGGGAATATTCCCTATTCTCTCCAACAGTAAACATAAAAGATGAATTTCTTCCTAAATTACTTAAGGGCAGACACACCAGTTCTAAGTATATTACATTTTCTCTAAAGCACACATAGTTTAGTCTCATTAAGGAATATAAATTTATCCCATCAATTAGACTTTGACCTGACTTGAAAAATGATAGCCTTAGTATTATGATGCTGAGAAGCATTTGCCTCCTTCCCAAGTCTTCTTTCAATACAGAAAGACACTACATTAGCTGAGAATGCAATATGTGGGAAATTGCCTTGATGCAGTGGAAGCACTAACTGGTGAGCTATCCCAGAGGTCGAGGAACAGAAAGGCTTTCAGACCAAATTAAAATGACCAAACCACATGGCTTATTAAATTGATTAAAATACTGAGCAAAAAACAAGGAGAATGAATTGGGGTAAGGTAATTCACTTAGAGAGGTGCAAACAGGGTGAAAGGACTACACTCCCTGAGTCCTAGGGTTCACAATGTGCATAAATCTTGCTTCTCTTTTGAAACATCAGCCTTCATGGGTGCTGGTTCAATGATGAGGGCCAGAGTTAATGTCTGAACAGAGAAGGGCCCCAAGGGAAGATATCCTGAACCAAGGACACAAACCTCCTCTTTCAGAGAGATGCAGGAGAAGTGTGCTTGATGCAAGAGTAGCATCAATTCATTTGTTGAACAGCCTTTGGTTTTATTTGCACTTTTGGGCAGGATCAGAATAGAACCATACTTGGTATCTTATTGAACTTCTTGGGTAGGACTAGAATAGAACCATGCTGTGTGTCAACAAGTGGTGGCTAATTGAGGTTTAATAAAGTTCTTGATCAAGAAGAAGTGGCATCCTCAAGATGTGGGTCTTTTCATCCTTTGCATCTAAGCAGCATATTTTTGTTCCATCACATTTTCTATTTATTCTATCTCTGGTTGTCATACAGGTTACTAACTTACTATCTGTTTTACCAGATCATCTGAATTCTACCTATGTCTCACAAATTACTTCTTTTTCATTATATATAATAAACCTATCCTGTGGGTTTTGCCTATATCTCACATGCTTATTTTCCAGCATATTGTTGTCCATGTTTAGCACTTCTTATGAATTCCATCCATCCTATTTGTTTTTTAATCTTCTATAGCAGAACTGAATATTCTCAACAGTACAGCAAAATCCCATTACATAATGCCATTAGCCAATCCCTCTAATTTGATTACTGTTATAATCACAAAATTTGTTCATTGTATTCCCCAATATTTTTCCAGACCAAAAAAAGAGAGCTTGCATTTTTTAAAGGAATTAAGAGACATTTGTCATACTTCAATTGAGAGATGATTTTTGCCTTAGCCTGGGCCTACCACACCAGATGTGGAAAAATGGATGAAACTGAGAGAAAATTAGCAGAACTAGGTGACTGATTTTATGTGGGATTTGCAGGAGAAAAAGATATCAAGGATAACTCCAAGTTTTTTGGTTCTGTATAAGTATCACTCACTAAGAAGTGTGGGAAGAATGAAGGAAGAGTTAATTGAGGAGTAGAAAGACGTGATAAATATAAATCCAGTTTTGGAATTATGTCCCAAAAATATACCAGTTGTCAATTTGTTAAATATTGATGTGAAACTTAGAAGACAAATCTATTGAGTATATACAAAGTTGGGAATATAGCAACATATAGATGACATTGAATACAATGAAATTACATGATTTCATCTAAGGAGAAAATGTAGAAGTGATAAGAGAAGTCAGTGGATCAATATATATGACTATTTATACATACATATTTATAGTGTACTACATGCAGGCCAATGTTTTAGTTTTTTATTGTGTCAACTTAACTAAGCTGAAACTAAGTTTCTCAGAATTCCTCTCCATATGTAGTTCCAGGTTAGCTTAGGCCACAGGAGCTGTTTTTTCCTGAGATTTGGAAGATGAGAGTAAAGCAGCAACCATAATTTATTAGACATGGAAGCCTGGTGAAAAACACGAGCCACGTTGCAACTTAGGTCTGTCGCCACTCTTGTGGTTGGTTGGAGAAACAGCCAGGCCCACCGTTCCTGCGGGTCCAGTCAGTTTTCTCCTTCAGCTTCCTCAATTCTTCAATCAGATGATTACTTAGATCCAGGTATGAGTTTAACATTAGCTCCTTCTGCAGAACACACCCATCTCCAAAGTTGGAAGCATAGCAACAGTGAGAGACTGGAATGAGTTTAGTCCAGTCTTTCAGTTTTTAGCTGATTCATACAGGTTTTAGGTTGTCTTGCTTCTTTACCATCAAGTCTATTTTCACTCACCTCTTGCTTACCCTGCCAGGTACCCTACAGGTTCCAGTCATAGACAAAGAAGCATCAGCTTCACATAGACCATTGAAACAGCTTTCAGAGGATTCTGCTTCTCTGATCAAATTCTGAATGATACAGGTACAAACAATCTGATTCTGCTTTTGTGGTAATGCTACTGTAACACTAAGAAGAGCAGAATGATTTTGATAAGTTACATAGGACACAGCAGTGCACTGTACCAGTCATTAAACAATTATTTATCAACTTTAATTTCATCCTTTCATACTTTGCTCTATGATCTCAGGTTTGGAATTCTGCAAACCCTACTTTTCCTTGGTCGGATAGCTTTTTATTAGATTTTGCCAATAAGGGCTGAAATAAGTGCAGTGGCATACCATATGAGTATGGTGATGAGAAGGGGTATTATTTTGGGCAGTGATGGTAATGGTAGCAAATTCTAAAGTGAGAATGTGCCTAGCAGGTAAGAGGAAAAGCTTGGTGGGGTTTGAATTTGGAGAGGTAGCCCAGAAGATAGTTCCTTTAAGTGCAAAGCAAACATGTGTAGAACCTGTGGGCAATAGGAGACACCAGCTAACATGTAACTTGTGTATAGTGACCAATATGCATATGGAAGGATGCTTAACCAATTTATAAAGGAAATACCTAAAATTTAAAGTGATTTTATTTGTGGCTTGACAAATCAACAGGATTAACTATATATCACATTGGTGAAACTATAGATAAATGGGCCCTGTCACTTTCTGCTCACAGATAGTACCCATTTGGACAATTTTCTTAACAATACCTTACACAGAAAAGTTAAAATTTAATGCTTTTGACTCTTTTCAGTTCTGAGAGTTTATTCCAATAATTTTATCAGACAGAAACTTAAAGATATATGTACAAGGGAAGTTTTATTACAGAAATTCTTAAGATAACAAATTTAGAAATTACCTAAATTCATAAAATAAATTCTAGTACACCTATTAAAAGGAATATTGGGTAGCTATTAAATGTGGAAACAATGCACAGCAGAGGCAGCCAGTTGAGACCCAATATTGTTTTTTCCTTTCCTAATAGAATCCCCAGTATTTAGCTAATCATGTGGTAACATGCAATGAATATGTCACTTTTCATCTCATTGCTAAGGGTTGCTCTGTTACTAAATTCTGGTTGATGGCTTATAAGCATAAATGATTCCCTGAAAGGGAGGGCAAATGTGTTTTTTTCCTCTCTTCCTCCTTGTTGGCTGGAGTATGCTTTTAATAGTAGTAATGGCTGTAGTTCCGGTAGCCACCTTGAACCAAGAGGTGACCTTTGAAAGGCAGGCACTCACAGAGGAGTGACAGAAAAGACAGCTGGTGGCAGTGGGCAGGTGGGACGGACAAAGGATGAGAAAAATCAGAAAATTATGTAAATATGGCACCCTAAAGTTGCACCATAGATTGTCATCCCGAAGATTTCTGAATTTATTCCATTTATGTCACCTATTCTTCACATATCTGTTACTCAATTTAATTCTAGGTGATTATTTTTAAGGAAAATTGAAAAGCAGGTCATAGAGTGGCTTGTACAGTATGCTTCTCATTGTATATGTCTTTGTATGTGAGGAGACAAAGAAAGACAGAAAGGTGAAAATGAGAGAACATATGGCATCTTGTGGAACATAGATGATTTTCACTTCCCTCTTTATAATTTTTAGTTCTGTTTGGATAGTTTTACAAAATTGCCAGTGTTCTCAAGATTAAAACAAAATAAAGAGTTTTTAGTTTGCATAACTAAGCCTTCATCTAGATGAAAAGTTAAAATAATCACTACACACATGCAAACATATATTGGTAATTTATTTTAAAAATTTACATCATTTTGATAGTTTTTAATAGTAACTATTAAGGATTAAACAGGCTGGCCTTTATATGTGCTTATAGGTTAACTTATAGGTGAACTCAGGTATAAAACATGTTCAAGTATTATTGGTTTATTAAAAAATATCATTTGTAGCTCCCTAAAAAATATGTATTATTAAAAATATCCTATGAAATAATGAAAAATAAATCAAGAAAGATGAGAATCCCTTCTATAAATATAAATATGGGATTTCAAAATCAACTATTAGCAAAATTATTTTAAGTGTAGAAGAAATAAATAAACCTACATTACAAAGATGTCATACTAAGAAAGCAATCACTGCTTCATATTAGACCACTGGCTAGTATGATCATATAAGTATTCTAAATACAAAGATTATACTTTCCATTTATTCTATCTATTCTACATGAGGACTTCAAATAACACTGAGAGATGAATCATATGAAAAATAGCAATGTAAATATACATTTAATTATATAAAAGCTAGCTAAAAATCAACAGGAAATATATTTAATCAGGAAACTGGAAGAATTCCTATTAAGATAATAATTCAGAATATTCGCTATCATTATTTTAATTGGCTATATAATCTAGACATATAATAAATATAAAACTTTATGAAAATAAAATAAAAACTGTGGATATTGGTGAGAAAGAAATCTAGAATTTGTGGATAATAAAATTTTACGTAATTAATTTTCAAAGGATAAAACAAAAAATTATCTAGATCCATGAATTGAATGCTCAATAAAGCTGCTAATATGGATATATAATTTGATATTTACAAAAACTGCATATATGTATATATATATAATTTACATATTGATATGGTTTTCCTGTGTCCCCACCTAAATCTTATCTTGAATTGTAACTCCCACAATTCCCACGTGTCGTGGGAGGAACCTGGTGGGAAGTGGTCAAATCATGGAGGTGGGTCTTTCCTGTGCTGTTTTCATGATAGTTAATGAGTCTCATGAAATCTGATGGTTTTTTAAAGAGGAGTTCCCTGCACAAGCTCTCTCTCTTTGCCTGCCCACATCCAGGTAAGAAATGACTTGCTCCTCCTTGCCTTCTGCCATGATTGTTCCTCCGCAGCCTCCCCAGCCATGTAGAACTAGAACTGTAAGTCCATTAAACCTCTTTCTGTGGTTAATTCCCCAGTCTTGGGTATGTCTTTATCAGCAGCGTGAAAACGGACATATATATTTAAGAATCTAGGGAATCTGTCATTTTTTTTTCCTTTACATCCACAGCATTGATCAGTTAGAAATGTTGGAGGAAAACATTCTTATTCAAAATAGTAACAAAATACAAAATGTCTAGGTATATCCTGATTCAGAAATTTGAGGAAGTTATACAAAGAAAAATATAAACATTTGCTCAAAAATTAAAAAATGCATGACAATAAATTTGAAAACCATAGCTCTAGATAAACAAATGTACACATTTAAATTCCATTAGAACCCTATTTTAATTATCAGAAAACTTATACAGTCATTATAAAATTTACCTGGAAACACACACAGTATGTGACTAAGGACAGTAAGAACAAGAAAGGGCTAAAGAGGATGATCAAACAGTAATTAGCAATGTAATACAGCATAAGTCCTGAAAGATGAATCGGTGAATGTAACACTAATTATCTCTACCATAAACAATTGCCCACTGTGTGGCAGGCAGTGCAACAGGGAGGTGCTACATGCACATAATATTATACCTGCTCAATATGAGTCAGATACTAGCACGCCCACTTCATACCTGGAAACTGGTGTCAGATAAGCTAATTTATTAAAAGTACCATAATTAGTAATCTGAAAATTTATGATTCAGAAGGAGTCATTACACAATGAAGATGCTAATCAAAGAGAATGATTACCTGATTTTCAATGTTCTAGACCATATCTCCAGAGACCTAATTGTGGTTTGCTTTTTATAATGGAGGAATATGAGATTACCTGTTGTATGCTTATGTCGAAACTTTTTCTTTAAGCTAGTTTGAGTGAGTTTTAATCCCTCGTAGTAAAAGTTTCTCTAAAGTAGATACCAATGTCCAGTATTTTTCTTAAATATCGTCCAAGACACCCATTCCATAACACATTATAAATTAATATTAAAGACAATGTTACAATTGGTGTATATATATATATATATGATTATATATATATGATTCAAGTGGTGTATCATTGACAACTGGTAATTCATTGGAAAAAATCAATAATATCCCCATGTCACATTTCACTGCAAAATCATATTGTTTAGAGAATGAATTCATAAAATTTAAAGGAGAATAAGATATTTAAATATATCTTTAATATAATTGTAAGAAATTATAGGTAGTGATACAATATTTAAGCTTGAAAATATAAAAACAAACACAGAAGAAAATATAAATGGATTCTATTACTGAAAATGTGAGTATTCCACATCACATATCATACAGAAAATATAATATCAAAGAACTAACTAAAAATATTATATGACCTAATGTTATATGAGCTAATACACTGTCATATATAAAGGATTTATACAAATTGATAAGGAAAACACATATAAAATTTGAAATAAAATTTAAAAAATAAATTAACAGTTCACTAAAACACAGCAAATAAAGTGGTTAGAATGTCAAATAATGTCGATAACAAAAGACATGTCAATGAAACTGACTATTTTTACCTATTATATCAGTAATGATTTTTTTAAAAAAAAATTCCTCTACCTACCAGTCATTATCTTGAATTTCTTCTATGCATATAATTTGGCAAAAAATTTTGGCAATAATTTATCAAACAGTTTAAGTGTATGGATCCAGTAATTCTACTTTTTAGTAATACATTCTAAGAATATAAACCTCTTTCTAGACAAAAGTAAAAGTTAAACATATTCATAATCATATCAACCTAAGTGCCCATCAATGATAGACTGGAAGAAAATGTGGCACATATACACCATGGAATACTATGTAGTCATAAAAAGAATGAGTTCATGTCCTTTGCAGGGACATGGATGAAGCTGGAAATCATCATCCTCAGCAAACTAACACAGGAACAGAAAACCAAACACCATATATTCTCATTCATAAGGGGGAGTTGAACAATGAGAACATATAGACACAGGGAGAGGAACATCACATACCAGGGCCTGTCCAGGGGTGGGGGCTAAGTTGGGGGAGGGCATTAGGACAAATACCTAATGCACACGGGGCTTAAAACCTAGATGATGGGTCGATGGGTGCAGCAAACCACCATGGCACATGCATACCTATGTAACAAACCTGCACATTCAGCACATGTATCCCAGAACTTAAAATAAATTTTAAAAAAAGAAAAAGAAAGAGAGAGAAAAAAAGAAAAGAAAGAAGAAAGAAAGAAAAGAAAGAAAGAAAGAAAGAGAGAAAGAAAGAAAGAAAAAGAAAGAGAAAGAAAGAAAGAAAGAAAGAAAGAAAGAAAGAAAGAAAGAAAGAAAGAAAGAAAGAAAATAAATAGGAGACTTCAGAGAAAATAACAGATAAGAATCAGGCCTAACTTGCAGCTCGCACCTGGACAGACAGAGCAGCAGGTGGAGCTAAGCTGTGGGGACACAAAACCGTAAGAATGACACAATTGTCTCTGGGGACTTAGGGGAAAGGGTGGGAGTGGGTTGAGGGATAAAAGACTACACATTAGATACAGTGTACACTGCTCGGGTGATGGGTGCACCATAAATCACCACAAAAGAACTTATTCATGTAACCAAACACAATCTGTTCCCCAAAACTTATTGAAATAAAAAAAAAGTAAAATAAAATAAATGAATATTGAAATCAACATCTAAAAGTCAGGTGAAAGTTAAATAGTATGCCCTATATATACCTGACGAATATTATAAACTTAAAAGTTATATTTAGGATAGTTTTATTACTAGTAGTAATGTTATAACAATATAATAAAAGCACACAAAATTGGATATACAAAATAAATAAGCTATATAAAAAACTTGAGTTTTTATGAATAGTTTTAAAAAGGTTGATGATGATTATTTCTTCATTTTTTATGATTTTTAATACTTAATTTTTTCTCCTATAAGCATGACTTAATTTATGACAAAATTAGAAAACAAGCACAATTTTATAATAAAAATTTATTAAGCATTAATTTAGCAAAAATATGAGATTGATTTTAGCCTGGTATTTGAAAAGGTGGACAGCTGAGCAGTTTGGTATAAAAATATTCTTAATCAAAAATTGACCTTTTCTAATAGCAGATTCATAGACACCATAATGCCTTCATTTTCCTAGAGAAAGTAGAAGAAAAGAACATGAGTAATCTGGCTATTATCGGTAAGATGTAAATATAACTAATGTCTACTGTGAGAAATACTTTTACAAAAGGGCTACGGATCTGTCATCCCCAAATGGGAAGACCTGTACTAGGGTCTCATTGCCTCAGCATAGATTTAGCAGCTAGTGGGACATATGGTACAGGAAAGCCTCATCACAAAGAGAGGAGAACATGACTCACAAAAACTGACTTTTGGGTGAAGAGAGACAAACATTGGCTATACATCACATTTCCAATGACTTTACTTTCTGCATACATCAGAATCCAATATTCCCCATTCTCTGAGTAGTTCCTTGAGGGAAATTAGACATAAAGGATTTTCTAGCTGACCACTATTGGGCTACCATTAGTTATACAACCATTGTACTATGACTGATGTCATATAAAACCAGGGTTTCGCTGGGGGTCACTAAGAAAAGGCAAATAACACGAGCCTCTATAACTAGTGGGCAGCTGACATGCCATCATTATTCTCCATTCTATCCAGACTTTCTGAATAGACTAAGCAGGGAGCACCCAAATCCACTTCTAGAATATATTTACCTGAGTTGCTTCTTATGAGTTTTAATTCCCAGGAAAGAGATAGAAATATCGTGTCATGGATAGTCTTTCAATGGTGGGCAGCTGGGTCAGTATATTTGGGGTCTCAAATGAATGTTGAACCTAAAATGGTAAAGAAAGCCTTTAGAGATGTTCTAAAAGGAAAACCTGACTCAGGAGTGAGAAAAGTCATGGTGTGTATTAAGGTTGTAGCTAAGTAATGTAAACAGAAGATATTTTTAGCTTTTCCTTAGGTATAGCACATTCACAAATGAATTGTTACTCTAAAAAGAATTCCCTGGGTGAACAAAGCTATCAGAGTCAGGTTATTGGGAAAACCCACAATGGTTCTATGTAGCATTTTGGAAGACCCCATCTTTGAATAAACTTGGAGTACAGGAAGGATTGTCAAGATGAATTAGAGCTTTGGGATTTCTTATAAAAATTCACAAATGGTTCTCCAAAGTTTTCTGGGGCATAACATTGAAAATAAAAGAAGACCCTACCTTTTGAAAAATTTCCTCTAGATGATGACTCCAAGAATACTCTCTGAAGTAGTAGATAATTTGGGAAATGAAGACAGAGCCATTTGTTTCATGTCTCCAAGAAACATTATCTGCAAATAAAAGGCATCAAAATATTGGAGGATGTGATCTTTTATACATGTGGAAGACTCCTGGAGACATAACTTTGGGAAAAAAAATCTGATTTTGTTTCTTTGGAGAAGAGAGGGAAACCAATGCTAAATAAAGATGGACCTCCAACTTCCATACCAGGCCCAGAAAAAGCCATCATGGACCTTCCTCACTCATAAATCACCTTGATTTTCTAGTAGGCTAGACCGAAGTGATATCCTCTGGGTTTGCAAGTAGTGGAAAAGAGTGTAAGTCCTTTCAGCACTAACTACATAACAGAAAAATAATACAGCCTTGACATTCCTTGATTCTGGGAATGTCATCCTGAGTTGTTTCATACTATATTTTTTTTGCACTTTTTGTTATGTTGTATAAAAATATTTTCAAGGACTGCTTCTGTTTACCATTTCAAGATGACCAAGTTGCTCCTATAATTTAGAAAAAAAGGCAATACTTCTCTAACTACTACTTTATTTGCCGCCAGCTGCTGATTTCTTCTTACTTTTTAAAGTCAAAATTCCAATTCGGTCTATATTCACCATTCCATTTCCCTTATCCTGCTCACTCCTATCAGGCTTCTCCTTCCTATACCTAACATCAGCTTTGCCAAATGGCTTTCCCCAAGGTAACCATTACCTCCAAGTTACTAAATCGAATAGTCATTCATCAAGCCTCACCTTCACCTGATCTTTCATTCACATTAAAGTCTGACAACGCATACTCCTTGTGTACTTTCTTATTCTCTGATTCTACTTTGTGAGTCAAATTTGCTGGTTCCTATTTCTCTAATATTGAACTCTAGGGTAATTTTAACCTCCATTTCAAGGCCTCTTCTCATGCGATTCTCAATTCTTAGATGATTTCATCCATTTTTAAGATATTAAATATTATCCTTAGGGCAGCATCTCTCAAAATTTTATCCTGAATGCAAATCTCTCCTCTGAAATATACAACTGTGCCACTCTCTACTCTTCATTTCATCTTAAAATATGCCAAAGCACTTCAAAACTTACTGCAAAACTCACGTTTTAATTGATGCCCCACCATTTACTTGCATGCTGGAGTCACTTCTATCACACCTTCTTGTTCACCTGACATATATTCACCAAACCACTGGGTGGTTAGTCATATTATTTTTGTATACTAATTGTTTCTTAGATACAACTTATTACATCCCAAGACTATCAGTATCATCTATGGCTTGCAATATTGTGCTAGCATTTAACCTGTCCTCATGTATCGACTCTTGCTGTACTATAATTTATTCCACACTGAACCTCCAGAATGGTCTTCAAAAACAAAAATCTTATCATTTAATTGCTTACAGCCTACTAGAATTTCCTGTTACTATTAGTATGAAGGACCATGTAAGGCCTCAGGTGTTTCAGTGCCTGCCTCACTCTCCAGCCTCTCCACTAGCATCTCTCCTGATGCTGTGTTCCAGCCACTCAGCCTCCTCTCCTAAGCTCCTTTTTTGTCTGTAAGTTCTCCATATGCACTGCCTTTCCTGACTAAAAAGTTCTGCTCTTACCCTTCATTTGTTAACTCCTTCATTTCTCAAATGTGAACACATATTTTTTAAGGCTTTTACCAGAGTTGACAATTATTATTTATTCTTCTTATATTGTAACTGTGTTTTTCCCACAGTTAGTGCCTGCCTTTCTGACTGCAAACTCCATGAAGTTCAGTAACCATACCTGCTTTAATTGTGCATCCTATGTCCTGCACCAAGCCCAGGCCTAGCACACAATTACATGTAAAAGAAAGAAGGAAAGAAGGAAGGAAGGGAGTAAGGAAGGGAGGAAGGAAAAGAGAGAAAGAGAGAGAGAGAGAGAGAAAGAAAGAGGGAAAGAGAAAGAAAAGAAAGAAAGAAAGAGAGAGAGAGAGGGAGGGAGGGAGGGATCGAGAGAGGGAGGGAGGGAGGAAGAAAGGAAGGAAGGAAGGAAGAAAGGAAGGAGAAAGAAACAATTTTGCATATTATATTGTATTTCCCAAACTAAATTAAGTATACTTTCAAAATTTGTACCAGGCCTTATATACCTCTTTAACTTCCTTCAACAGCTGTAAGTGTAGAACTTATTATTCAAATAAAACTTATTAAAACTCGAATACATTACATGAATAGAAGGGAAGCTACTCTAGTTATTTATTCCCCAGGCTGGACTCAGAGTGTCCTCTAGTCCCTCAGTGCTCACATGCAGCCACAAACAACAGCCCTAATCACAACAAAGCTTTTAAGAAAGGCAGAAAGTCAGGCCCCACCCCAGACCTACTGAATAAGAAATCTACTGAATAAGCAAACTACTGAATAAGAAATCAAGTGATTTCTATGTTGATTAAAATTTGAAATCCCTAAATTGAGCATTTAGAACTGTGAACTGTGCAAAGGAGGTATTTAAAAATTGCTCCTGTTCTCCAAATCATTGATAGAATAATATTGTGGATGATCGTTAAAGAGATTTCCTGCAATTCTGACCATGAGCGGTCAAGAATATTCTCTATTTTTCCATTGTATTATGACTTTCCTGCCAAAGGACTGATTTTTTATTCAGTGACTTCACTATCCTAAATTAGTTAACATTTAGGCATTTAAATGTTAACTAGTTTCCTGAAACTAGATTAATAATAATAGGTCAAGAGTTACTGGGATGTGTGGAGCAAGTATAATGGTTTTAGTGGTTGGCTTCTTTAATTGCTGGGAAGTGGCTGTGGAGCTACACTGTGAGAAAATGATACCTTTCTGTGCCATTGCTACATTCTAAAAACAAAATCAAATAATGCCTCACTTTTTGTAGTTAGATTATTCCAAGTCTTGATGCTCACCAAAGTCCTTCCAAAGTCCTGTTAACTTTGAACGTTTCTTCCCAAATCAAGATTTATAGCTTTCTAATTATGAAAGTCTCAGCATTTTAAATCTTTTCTCCACCTAAAATATCCTGGTAATTAGAGAAGAAATGCTCTTTTCGGTGATAAGATATGATCATAGCCAAGCCTACTATCTAGAAACCTACTAAGAAATTTAGAAATTATTCTCTCTGAAATCACTTACGTGGTGTGGAAGATTTGAAAGCAATGAAGTCCTTTTCCACATGAGCCTTTGTAACAGCATCATTACAGATGTTACCTTGCAAGAGCCGACCATGAGTATCTGCACTGGCTTTTCCACTGTCAGTGGTGAACCAAACAATCCCAGCACCATCTGGGAGAGACATTATGTCTAATTAAAGAAGAGATATTTATAAATACACACACATACACATACACACACACATACACATATGCACACACATACTCATATGCACAAACATCCACATATGCACACACATACACATACACACGCACATACACATATGCATAGACATACACACAAATGCACACACATATTTACACACATACACATACATATGCACACACATACACACATATGCATACACACATACACACATACGCATATACATATGCATACACACAGACTCTCTCTTTTACACTGATATCTTTACTTAAGTATATTTTATCATGGCATTACTTAAAAATGCAAGTACCTTACTACTAGAAATACCGCCTCACTTACTGGGAACAAAACAGACCCCACTTGAGTTTAGAACAACCATGTTGACAACATAGTCCCAGATGATTGGGATGTTTCCAATCATTGTACTTATAGTTTCTTTAAAAAATGGTAGGGACTTAATACAATTTCGAAGTGCACTGGACCTAGTAGTACTGAAATGTTGTTTCTCTTGCCCATCCCTAAGAAAATGAACACCAGGCTAATTTTTAAAAGTGCACAGCCACTCCCTGGGGTCTCAAAATCAAGATTTACAGCTTTCTAATTGGGGACTCACTGCCTCGGCAGGCTTGCATGATGATGACCTTGGGTTTGTCTTTCAGACTCTGGCAGTTACGGTTGTTGAAAATTTCAAAGATGGTGTCATCGTGAAGAACATCTGGCTCTTGATCCCAGTGCTTGGTCCCACAGATTCCATTCAGGATGCTATGTGACATAAACACCAGGAATGTGCTGTCTGAGGACTGGTGCTCTGGGTGAGCAGCAAACTGCCTTAGTGCTGTTTCCATTTCCTGAAAGAGACCCTTGAGTCACTATCGAGGAAGTCTCCATGTGTATGTAGTTTGTAATCAAATAATGGGTAGGGTTCACAAAAAGGAGCCAGCACTGAGGAATCAGATGGTTTAGACTGAATAGGATTATAAGATAAACAGTGTTCTGACATAAAACTAGAAAATTTAGCTGTATAGAATATTAAAGTTAGTAGGGTTTTTATGTAGTATCTTGCCCAGTGGTTTTTAGTAAAACCTTAGGTTTCTGAAGATGCTGGGAGATGGAATAAAATGAAGGCCAAGTGAGATGACAATACACCAATAGGACCATTTTGCTATAATATGTTTAATGATGGAACTCTTGTAAGTTTTTATTTAAAAGATAAAACTGACAAATATTAAAAATATGAAATTCATTCACTATGGAGCAGCAGAAAGTTAGTTTAAAATGGTCTCTCTAAAGTTTTGCAAAATAGAGCTAGAAACACAACTGTTTCATTACATATTTGTGTGTGTGTGATTTGTTCCCCCTATACCTGCCTTTACATTAAGACACTTGCTCATGCCATTGTAAAAATCTCACAAGATAATTCTGTAGGTATCAGACATTTCAGGGTGCAGAGCTTTTGTCTTATGCAGACCATCAAGTAGTAGCTGTCTCCCAGATTGTGAACATCGAAAGACCCAATATTTTTACTAAAACTCTGCTACGTAGAATTTCTGTAAATACACACACACACACACACACACATACGCATACTCATATGCTATAAGACTGTGCATTAGAGAAGGCTAAAATCCAGGGGATCCTATTCTGGAGAAAATATAATTCCTATAATATCATACATCTTGCTCTTTCAGCTGCCAATTAAGAGGTAAGAGGTTGAAAAGTGTCTAAAGGTGGAGGTGGAGGGGAAGCAGCTTGTTCTTCTCTCTGGAGCCATTACCTGAGCTGTGAGATTCTCTTTTATAACCACTGAGTATCCAAGGTTTTCAAGTAGATCTCACATCCCCAAAAGGTCAAGTTCAGAACCATTTCGATTATGAAGATAGTTGAATTCTTTGTTGCGGATGTTGAGGCCAGGCATGTTCGCCTCTCTTTCTCCATCACTGGATATATCTGCAATTAATACACACAGAATGACTTTCCCCAGGACTTTTCTCTTTTGCCTGCAAAGTTCATACACAACAGGCCAATATAAATATAGAGTAAGTGACACAAAGTTTCTGCATGAAAATACACCCTCGTGAGGAAAGAGGCAGAAAACCAGACTGAAAGCATGTATGTGGTGTAAGTGTTCACTGTATGAAGTTGGCTTAAGTTAGGTGGTGGAGAGTTTAGACTGTGTCCCAAAATAAGATGGAAGAAACAGAAAATGTAATGTGAAGACCAATTGGTTAGATAATTTCCTGATCTTAAGGCCTTTGTGACGAGAGCTAAACCATTCCAGTAAGTCCCCAGTGTCTTGTCTGAATGAGTAATCTTGTGTCTCCGTATTTCAAAGCATATCACCTCATCTGCCCTTTTTGTCTTTAGTTCATGGAAGTGAGCATGAGGACAAAGCTTTAACTTGCCACTGGGTTGGGCACCCTGGATTTCCAGAAAAGCTGAAAGAGAGAAAAAAATTCTGTGGCATAGTAAGCAGTAATGTCTGCTGCCTTGCAACACTGCAGATCCTTTTGCTAGGCTCTCATTCCTCAAAACTGCTTACTGCCAGTCCATGAAAAAGTTTCATAAAATGAGAAAATTGCTTCATATTTAAAATGCCTAAAGCAAAAATATTGAGTACATCCCTATTTTCCTTCTGCTTCTTACTGACCTGGTTATCAATTTGTGTGTTTTTGTTAGTGCTCACAGCATGAACTTATCTTTCAGACCCAACACATTAGCATCGTATAAACACAGAAACTAAGATTCAGAAGGAAGTGTAATGTTTATCTAGCCTAGTGGAATCAGTACTCAGCTATTTCATGTCACTTGAAATATCCCTTCTTTATTATTACCATTCTCTGAGACATCTCCCCTTTCATGGAACTCAAAACATTCCAAGGCATTCTTGAACAGTTATGTGTATTACAATCTGT
This sequence comes from Homo sapiens, assembly GCF_000001405.40. Classification (NCBI taxonomy): domain Eukaryota; kingdom Metazoa; phylum Chordata; class Mammalia; order Primates; family Hominidae; genus Homo; species Homo sapiens. The sequence continues at coordinate 104,893,469 of NC_000011.10, forward strand.
GTACCTTCTAGGTATTGATAGGTATTTCCCACCTCAGAATCATACAGAAAACATTTAATTCATTTCCCTGTAAAAGCCCATGAATTCTTCCATGACCAACATGTCTTTCCCTATTTTTTCATTCTTACATGAAAATACCTTCAACATAAACAACTATTGCATTGTACTTTAATTGTGTTTACTGTACTATAACCTTAATTAGGATAGAAAAGGTGGTCTTCTATCTTTGTATTTCCAGTATATTAGAATAGTATCTACCAAGATTGCTAGTTTATAAATTCTGTTAGTGAATAGTTATCCTCAAATACTTGAAAATAGCTACAAGGTATCCCCTGGTTCTTTGTTCCCTTAGGGCAACAAACCTTCTATTTCTTTTCATAGTTTTGGGTAAGAAATATTTCATCTTTTAACCACCAAATCCATTAATTTGCCTACATCTCTGCTCACCTCCTCTACTTTCTCTTTGGCTACATAAAACATGTGTCCTTCCTCCTATCTAAGATCACCGCCTCTACCTGAGCTCTCAAATCCATCCCCTCCCACCAACAAGGGTTTTTCTCAGGTATTTATTCAGCTTCAGGTTCTATGACATCATTCATTCTCTTCCTCTTTTCCCACAGACTTATTCCTATTGACAGCAGCATGACTTAATATATATCATTTTTTTAAAAAAAACCTTCCTGTTTCCTTGCCAATTATTGGCCCATATCACTACTTTACTTCTCTACACAATGCCTGAAAATCATTTTGTTTTTTGCTATTTCCAATTTTTCTGTCTTATGATTTTTGTATGCAATCCAATCCAGCTGTTATCCTCAATCCTTAAATAAAATATAGTTATCAAACTACCACTGATTATATGTTGATTTCTTAGCATTCACATGGCATTCTCTAGGCTTCTGTAATGCTGCATTTTCCAGCCATTCTTCCTAACTCTGTCTGTCTTAGTTGTTGGTTCTTCCTCTTCCACAATGCCTCCAAAAGTTGTGCTTTTCTATGCCAGACACTCTGTTATTCTCTATCAATGCTCTTTCCCATGTGGCATCTTCCAGTCTCAATATCTTAAAAACTATCTACATACTGACGAATCTCCAGATTTTTCCCAGTCCAGATTTCTCTGTGAGCCCATCCATTTGCCTATTCAACATCCACCACTGGAGGTACCACATGTTCCAAAGTAAGCATACAAAACAGGACCCTGATATTGTGCATTCCTTCAAATCTGTGTCCCCTGCACACCTGTTTTCTCTGACTCAGTAAATGGCACCATACACCCCAGTTGCCAAGCCAAAAACCTAGTCATTATTAATTCTTTCCTTTCTTTCACATCCCATATCCAATCCATTAGTCAATTTGCATTGATTCTGCTGCCAAAACTAGGTCTCAAATTTAACAACTTTTCATCAGCTCTATTGCCATAAACCCAGTCTAAAAGCTATTGTTTTTCTAACTGAAATATTTAAACCGCTTTCAACTGGCCTTTGTGATGCGACGCTTATCCTATCACTCCTCGTTTAACAGCTTCTAAGGTAGTGTAAATGAAGGCAGGATGCATCATTTATCATTTTTCTGCTGTAGACATTAGGACATGCCCTTGCAGTTACAACCTACTTGGCTCAATTAGCATGTAATGATTTCAAAATTGGCAGTGAAATTAAAGGGAGAATTGAGAGTACGGAGGGAAGAAAGTAAAAGGAAAGAAGGAGAAAAAGAACAGAGGAAAAAAAGAGAGAAGGAAAAAACAGAAACAAGAAAAAGAATGTCAATGGGAAAGAAAATAAAACAGATGATAAGAAAGGAAAAATGAAAGAGATGGAGAAAGAAAAGTGGGAGATTAAAAGCTCCTTTATTTTTTAAAAAACTCTCAGTTGGAAACACCTTATTTACATTTTGGTAAAAGGGAGTACCAAGTTCTTACTCAGGGCAATTTATCATATGTCATATTACTTCTGCTTTTTAATGTCAACTTATTTTATGTAAACTAAGATAAAACTTAGCTTCCATAAAAACATTCTTTAATACTCACACAAGTTTAAGCACTTGTTTTAGAAATAGATGTTAACTGTAATAGATGGCCAGGAAGAACAGAGGCTATGCAACACTCCTGGAATTTGTAAGGATCCTCGACTGCTAATAAACAGTTGTCTAAAAAAGATTCCAAAAAAAGAAAAAAAAAAGCAAAAACAAAACCCTGCAACGTTTTATATTGCAAATAAAATCCCGGCCTGTCTCTTTAATAGCTCCATTTATACTCCCTCTAATTTCCTACTCTCCAGTCAGATTGGCTGTGACCCTCTTACACAGCAAGAGCATTACTGTCTCAGGGTCCTTGCTCTTGTTTCCCCTTTCTAGAGAACACTTTTGTTTCAGAGTTTGGCACAACTCCTTCCCCACAGTTCAAGTATGTACTGAAATGCCACCTCTGGGGAGAAGTTATGGCTAAACATCCTGGCTCACTGGCCTTTTCTTGATGCATATCCAAGAATTGGGAATATACTTATTTATGTATTACAGTCTGGAGTAGGAATCAGCAAACCATGGCCTATGGGTCAGATTCAGCCCAACACCCAGTTTTATAAATAATGTTATACTGGGATACACATCAACACACCCATCATGCACTTATGGTCTATTGCTGTTTGTGAGCTACAATAGATGATTTGAGTCATGACAGGGGCCACATGGTCCAGAAAGATTAAAATATTAATTATCTTTCAAAGAAAAAGTGTAGCAACCCATGTTCCAGAGAGAAGGAAACATCTATACCCCACTGACCCATGAATTCCCTATTCCTTCCTTAAATAGAAATCTAGATTTCCAGACATTTCTTTCTGGGGCAAAGCCACAGCTAAGCAAAAGATAATAGATATCCCCTATTGTACATTCTGTATCTGGGAATGACTCTAACGTCCACTTTGTGCAACCAGAGTAGCCCAGAATAGCTAAAGGCTATCACTGAATTTAATGTATCCAACACCATTCCTTTATTTAACAGATATTTACTGAGCACCTATTATGTTTCAGGTATCATTTCCATGTGTTTGGGATATATTCATGAACAAAGCAGACAAAGACCCCCCACATGGTGGAGTCTACATTTCAGCAGAGGGAGACATAATAATATAATGAATAAGTAAATTGTATGGAGTGATATGGTGAGTATTGTTAAAGAAAAAAGTATACAGCAGTGTAAAAGTAATTGGGGATGATCAAGGTATTTTGTGACATTAAATAAGATAGACAGGAGGTCAGGCCCAGTGACTCATGCCTGTAATCCCAGCACTTTGGGAGGCTGAGACAGGAGGATCACCTGAGATCAGCAGTTTGAGACCAGTCTGGGCAACATGGTGAAACCCTGTGTCTACTAAAAAATAAATAAATAAATAAATAAATAAATAAATAAATAAATAAATAAATAAATAAAATTAGCCAGGCATGGTGGAGGATGCCCATAAAATCAGCTACTTAGGAGGATGAGACAGAAGAATTGCTTGAACTGGGGAGGTGGAGATTGCAATGAGTTAAGATTGCACCATTGCACTCCATCCAGCCTGGATGACAACAGCAAGCAAAATACTCTGTCTTAAAAAAAAAAGAAAAAAAAAAAAAGATTGGTGAAGAAGGTCCTAAGATGGGCATAGTTTATTCTCCACTTGGAGAAAGGAAAAATAAAGAAGACAAAAACTGAATAAGAAGAGTAGAGAAAGAATAAGAATGAATTACTAGCTGTTAGCCCCACAATACTCACCTGAACTCAGCTGTTTTTTGGAATTCCACAGGTGTTCCCTAAATATTTTGCCTGCAATTTGAGCTGTCTCAGTGATATCATCAACCAGGTTTTCAGCATTGCTCACCACAAACTTTAGACATTTTCCTATAAGGTGTATCTCATCTGTATTTAACACATTATTTTCCATCAAATCATCAAAAATGCCATCTAGAAAGGTCTTGATCAGCAACTTCACCATGTGGACCAGAACACCGTTGGATGGTTTCTCATCTGTGAAAATGATAGAATCTTAGATATGGACAGAACTTTAGATCCCCATTCTAGGGTAGTGGTTCCCAAATTTTAACGTGCATAAGAATCACCTAGAAAGCTTAGTAAGCAGAGCTTCCTGCATCCTAGTCCAAATAATTTTTATTTGATAGGTGAGAATGGGCCCATGAATTTTCATTTATAACAATTTCTCAGGTGATGCCAAAGCCTCTGGTGCAAGGACCACACGTGGAGAAGCTCCTGTCTTGTTCAATTCTCTCCATTTTCATAGATGGTGAAATAGATTCAGGGAAGCAAAGTGAATTCACTAAGGAACTTAGTGACAGCTGACTCAGTTTAGTCTTTACATCTCCTACGATCTCTTCATTTTCTTTCACTTTTATCAATAACTAGTTTGAAAAGACATTACATTCAATATGTGTAGCATAAATGCATTCATCTGTAAAATAACACCTTTTTTGTTTCCCTTATCAAGGCTGGCAGGGAAGCTCGGTATGCGCAGATTGAGCACACATGTTGTAGCTGACCCATTTGCTGCTGTAATTGAAAGTTCACACAGAGAGCAGAAATGTGGAGGAAATGCAAGTTACCTGTTCAACCGCCTGGCTTCTCACCCTCACCGTAACAGAACACTTATAAAATGGGTGAGAATTTCGGGTCAGTATGAGTTAAAAGAAGAGTCTAAAATCAAAGGAAAAGTTTAAGAACAGAAATCCAGGTGTTTCTACATTTCTCTTTCATTTGAGAAGTTGTAACATATTAATGAAGACACTTGGTTTGCATTTTTAGTGCTGTGCCGGAAGCTGACATATCTCCCTCCATACCCAGAGTAAAATAGTTAGCTTTTGGGAGACCCCCTCCACTCTGCCTTCTTCTTTCCCTTGAATATAACGTTCTCAAAGGACAGCCATAAACAACAGAAAAACTGAAGCCACTCACCAGCCATGGCTTCTCCTGCTCCCCGGACAGGAAAAAGCTGTGAAAGCAAAAACAATTTCAACAGGCTTGCTCTCCTCTCAGTGGACCAGCTTGTTGATATTACCCTGAATGGAAAATTCCCAGTCCTCAAATTCTCTTTTTCTTTGCCAAGATAAAATTAGACTCTGATCTCGTGTATAACTGCTTTCCTTTGGAAAATAGGAAGCAGAAGGTGTTTTCTTCTTTTTGACATAACAAAGTGAACAGAATGAAATCATGTACACTTGCATGAGAACCCGTCTCTGTGTTCTGTTTTCCTGTCTATTTTTAACACTGTTAATAAATTAAGTTAAATCTCTGTTTGTCTGTCTGATGCCATCAGCCTCTAAATGGTCAGGAGTCTTTACTTCACTGATACTTACTCAACCCCGGAAGTGTGATTTTGGAAGTTAAGGGAAAGAGGCTAACTGAAGACTGCCAAATGGTGATACTCCCTTCACTATTTGAGAAACTCACATAAGTGATCTCTTTTCTTCTCTTTCCTGATCCACTCATTTTTAAATTGGGATGTTGTTTTTCCACAAGATCAATGTATTTTTGTTCATTAAATGAACAAGAGGCTCTTTCACTTATTTTTGAAACAGATATATGTGTGCCATTAAAATCAAACAACAGAAAAGTTTATAAAATGGAAAAATGTAGATTATTTAATTTCACATGGCAAGGTAATCACAACGATACGTTTAGCTTGTATCTGTGTGTAATATTTTAAATAATTTTACAAAACACTTAATGCAATACTGATCTTATCCATGGCTCTAATCAATGGCCTCCTAGCATTTTTTGGCCTTTACTTTATTCTGAACTGGCCTTATAGGTTGGTTTTGGCCAGCATGATGGAGCAGAGGGATCTGAAGGAGTTTCCAGTCTGAGTTTTACAAATCCTTGTGCCCTTCTTCCTCTTGAACACCTGAAGCTAAATGAGGATAAGCCTGGGCTAGATTGCTAGCTGAATAGAGACCTCATGTGGAGAAGAGCCCAGTCATCCCAGCCAAGGCCAACCTAGGCCAGCCTCCAGCCAAGTGTTTTCCCAACCTATGGGGTATCCCAGCCTTGTCAGCAGAGATGCCTACCCTACACACAGATGATCTCAGACACAATCCTAGCAGTGACAAAAAGAAACATTCAGCTGACTGGCCACCTTGTAATAATAATAAATGCTTCTTGTGTGAAGCCACTGTATTTTGGGGTGTTTTGATACTCAACAATAGATAACTAACAGACACATAATTACCTACAGATTGTTTTTTGTTTTTTCTATAGTGGCAGTATCTTAAAATTATATTATTGATAATTTGCTTTATTTAACTTCACAATGTGTGACAAACATTTTAAAAAATCAACACATGAAACACTATCTGATTTTTGATGGCTGTATACTATTTAAAATGTGGATAGATTACAATTTTTAAAAGTTTTGTCAGTAGTACAGAAAACACTACAATAAAAATCAGATTTTTATGCTTTTCATCTTTGGTCCCACAAACTAGGTGTAATTTCTCTGTTATTTGCTTTATTTTTTGCTAACAATCTTTGGAACACCCAGTGATGCCTGTTTTATCTATTTCATGATACAAAAATTACAAACAATGCTATTAACTGTCTCATATGAAAAATGAGATGTAGCTCATTCACACTGCGAATTCTCTCTCCTATTCTATCTTATATTTGATAATAGTGTGATTTCCAATTATTTCCTTGATTCATTTTGAAATAATAATATACCTAACTCTCACTTCTTCTTTCATCAATTTTGCATAGTAGCTTAATTCTCCTCTGTGTAAGTTGATCAGAGTTTCCTGGGTGCAATTTACTCCATCTCTTCTCACCTCCAATTAATACCATTTTTTCCCAATTTCCTATTGTGGTAAAAATACATACCCCCGGCCAGGCACAGTGGCTCACGCCTGTAATCCCAGCACTTTGGGAGACCAAGGTGGGCAGATCACGAGGTCAGGAGATGGAGACCATCCTGGCTAACACGGTGAAAACCCGTCTCTACTAAAAATACAAAAAGATTAGCTGGGTGTAGTGGCAGGTGCCTGTAGTCCCAGCTTATCGGGAGGCTGAGGCAGGAGAATGGCTTGAACCTGGGAGGCAGAGCTTGCAGTGAGATTGGGCCACTGTACTCCAGCCTGGGTGACAGAGGGAGACTCTGTCTCCAAAAAAAAAAAAAAAACCCAAAACAAAAACATACCCCCAAATTGACCATCTTAACATTTTTACATGTGGTGTTTGGTGATAATAAATACATTCATAATGTCATAACAGTCACCCCAATCTACCTCCAGAATTCTTCTTTATCTTGTAAAACTGAGATTCTAGATCATTAAATAGTAACTCCCCATTTCCTCCTACCCACTGTCCCTGACCATCACCATTCTACTTTCTGTCTTTATGAATTTGAGACCCTAGGTACCTCATATGTAAGTGAAATCATACAGTGTTGGTTTTTCTGTTGCTGCCTTATTTCACATAGCCTAATGTTCTGAAGGTTCATTCATATTGTAACAAATGTCAGAACTTTGTTTTTAAGGCTAAAATTCCATTATGAGTGTATACCACATTTTGTTTATCCATTTATCATTTATTGGTTAGTTGTGTGGCTTCCACATTTTAGATATTGTGAACAATGCTTCTATGAATGTGGGTGTATAAATAAATCTTTGAGACCCTGCATTCAATTATTTTAGGTACGTACCCATAGATGGAATTTCTGGATCATATGGTAACTCCACTTCTAATTTGTGCAGAACTTTCATGCAGCTTTCCTCAGTAGCTGTACCAATTGAAATTCTCAACGACAGATCACAGGGTTCTAATTATTCTACATCCCTGCAAACACTTGTTATTTTCTGTTTGTTTGTTTGTTTGTTTTGATGGGAATCATTCTAATGGGTATGAGGCGCACTACGTCACTATAGTTTTCGGCATCATCTTCTTTCATCCTATTGTTGGGGCTAAGTCACAGTCAGTTTTCTTCATCAGATATTACATGAGGTATAAAGATCAAAAATCCAGTTAGCTTCTTCCACTTCATTTAGACTCACCCACCATTTTCAGTGAAATTATATTCTCTATTAAAAAAAGAAAAAGACACAGTTCATTTGTCTTCACCTTTATTGAAATACAAAATGTTAAGCATTCAATCTGTACTAGTAAAGGTGTTTCTTGAAGTTGATAAAGGAGGGCTGGGCTGCTTGTGGTTTCCTGCTGGGGAGAGAAAGAACAGAAGGTCAAGATGGTTACCCCTTGCTGCCTTCATCCCATCCCTCATCATGATTCTTCTTCCATCCTCTTCCATTTGCTCTTGACACTTCCCTTGACTTCCATCTGTGATCTGTTAATCTTTTCACTGAAATGTGATCTTTGTAAAACCTAAAACCTAAGTAAAATTATGTTACTTCTCTTTTCTAAAGCACTAGAAAGGCTTCTTGTCTCAGTGAGACAGTAATTTTTAAAGGTTTACCATGTGATAACCAAGAACCATGAGATCTGGCTTCCCACTGCTTCTCCTAATTTGTCTCTGCCATTTTCCCCACTCATGTTCTCTTTTGGTCACACTGTCTCATTGCAGTTCTTTAAACATGTTTAGTGCATTGCTATCCCAGGGCATTTGCACTGGCTGTATTCTGTGCTGGGACACTTTTCCTGCATAAGAACCATATGGTTCACTTTCCAACTCTGTCCATTCTTTGTTCTCATTTCATTATTTCAAGGAAGTCTTTCCTGAGTGAAATATCTATAGGAGTACAGCATCCATCATTTTGTGTGTTCCTTTATCATCATTTATTTTTCCTCTTAGCCTTTTATTTTATTTTATTTTTTGTGTTTCGGCTTGTGATATATTTACCTATTTGTGTATTCAGAGAATGCTTCTCCTCACTAGTATATAAACTTTCTGAGTGTAAGGAATCTATCTACTTTGTTAATTGGCATACTCCAATTAGAACAGAACCTGGTGCATGGTTAATGTTGCAAATGTTAGTCAAACAAACAACTCAATGCCCAAATATAGCCCCATTGGATGGATTAGGCACTGAAAGCTGTTATGCTGAAATGATACAATATTGTGACTGGAGTGTAGTGTCAGAAACCAAGAGTAAAAGATGATGTGGCAAATATTGGAAGTATTGAGATAACCTTTACACAGTTGAGTATAGAATATAATTTTAATTATGTATCTGAGATGGAGATTAATAATAGGATTATAATATAGCGTTAAATGAAGATGCTATGAGTGAAGAATGTAGTCATTTGGTCCAGATTGAATGTACCCAATCTATAACATTTTTATCAAAAGAACGAAAATAAAAGTATATCTATTAACACGAGAGCTTGAAGGAACTTCTGGAAAGGGTTGAGGGTCTGAAAACAGTCTCTCAGTGATTTGTGATCTGCATTATGAGAACATTCTGAGAACGAGAGACTGGATCAACACAAACTCTACACTGTAGGGTTTATTTTCTACTGTCTGATAAGGGTACCTGAACACCAGTAATGTGGTATTTGCTGTGAAATCCTCACTCAGAAAATCAAAGTACTGCTTTCTGCAGAGTTAGTGCCTCTGTTTTCTCATTTTTGTTCAGATTGATGCAATGTTTGGTAACTCAGTATGTGTTTGTGTGTGTGTGTGTGTGTGTGTGTAAGAAAAGGAGAGAAAAAGGTAGAGTATGAGATGTAAATGAATATAAATAGTAATGGATGCAGGAGTATGTTTCTATTTTAATAAGTGCTACCCTGGGTTTTTTATTATCTCATTTGGCCTTGGTTTTCCTTACGTCCTTGATTGATTGATTGCCTGATTAATTATAGAGTTGGGGGAACCCAAATGCAAAAAAAATCGAATAAAAGATAACAGATAATCAATCACCAGACTACATCAACAAAGTACACTAATTTGGCCATCCAAGTACTCAACTGTCATTGGTCATCGGAACTCACCTCCAATATCACACTTTCATTTATTTCATACACCACCAACAACTCTCAATGCTTAACCATTTTCAATTGCCAGGAAAGAGGTAGAAATATCTTGTCATGGACACTCGTTCTATGGTGGGCATTTGGACTGTTGCCTCCGGACTTTCAAATGCTTGCTGAACCTGAAAAAGAAAGTAGGCTATAGATGAGATACGACTCTTTTCAAGTCTCAGAAAGCATCTTCCACCATGAACCAGGAAAGTCCTGGAATGAAGAGAGTTTGCAGGTTTCATAGGACCAAGCCCATGGGTATTCTGTCTTCTCAACGTTGTACACTACCTCTTAGAATTGACACTCCATGTCAGACTGTACCCTTTACATCAAGATAAATACCTCATGTCTAATCCAAAGCCTTTCAACATTCATTTCCTCTGTTTTCCATTTCTGACCTACAGATCAGACAATCAGTTATCCCTTGGAAATTGTTCATGAGACCAGGATAGGGAATGGCTCTATACTTACAACTCCCACCAAGACTGATTCCTCCACTGAATGAGAATTAAGTCTCATTACCTTAACTTTGAGACTTGAACACTGAACAACTTTCACTTCACCACCAAGCTGATCTTGTAGTCTTTTGGATGAACCAATTGATGAGATGCTGAGATGCTACTTACCCTAAATCCAGAATTTTTAGCTCTTTTTTCTAAGAATACCCTTGAAAGTACAATGTCTAATTCCTAATTATCCTAAAAAAATTATCTTCTTAGGTCTCTATTCACAGAAACTCTGTCTCAATTTATGCTGCAATCTTCTCATACTCCTTCTTTTTTCTTTTTTTATTTTTTGAGATAGGGTCTCATTCTGTCACCTGCCCTGGAGTGCAGTGGCATGATCTCCACTCACTGCAACCTTGTCTTCCATTGCTAAAGCAATCCTCTCACCTTAGCTCCCAAATAGCTGGGATTACAGGCACCTGCCATCACGCCCACCAAAATTTTGTATTTTATGTAGAGACGGGGTATCTCCATGTTGCCCAGGCTGGTCTCAAATTCCTGGACTCAAGCAATTGGCCCTCTTCGGCCTCTCAAACTGCTGGGGTTGCAGGTATGAGCCGCGGCGCCAGTCCTGGATGGCTTTCTTCTTTAAATGCCAGAATAAAGGTGTATTCTTCTTTTCCCACAGGAGTCATACTGTTCTCTACAGGTTTTACTTTATAAACAACCACACTATACTGTGTTAATACCAATCCTGTTTTCTCTTTAAAAAATAGAATATATTTAGATTAAATAGAATAGATTCTCTCTTTATTCATTTATGCATCTATTTATTCAAAGATTAATTGAATATTTACTGTATGCCAGGTTTGTTGGGGTGCTGAGCAAATCCCCATCATCCTGAAGTTTTCATGTTAGAAAGTAAATATGGGTAAAATAACAGACAAATACGTAAACTATTAATATATGCCGAGTGCAGGAAGGTAAGAACTATGGAGAAAAATAACATAGGAAGAAGTGGGAATAAGGAATGTCCCAAATTGGGCAAGGAGGAGCAAGCCTTTCCTTCTGCAATTCTCCATTGAAAGATCGACTTCTTTATTCCCTCTCACATTCCTTTATGGATCGTATCACAGTCTGTAAACACTTATTTGTTGATTAACCCACATTTTCAGTATCTGTATCTCCCACGAAAATGTGAGTCCTAGATAGGCTAACGGCATGCATGCCTCATGTACCCCTCTGTCACCAGGATGGACCCAATGACCTAGTAGACCACCCAGTTTTTATTCATTTCATAAATGAAGTAATAAAAATTATTTCAAAATATTTTTCATTCTCTAAAACTTAAGAACTTATAGCCTAATACGTAAAGATTATGGTTGACATTATTTTGTTTTACTTTGATCTCCTGGAACTGTTTTTCCCTAAAGCATATTTTAAACACTTGAATGACAGAAACTAGGTATCTCTCAACCTTCACTTGACTGACAAAGATTGTAATTGCGAAGTGAAAGGTGAATCATGACAAATTCTTCTTGAACAAATGAGTGAATGACTAGAAAAGAAAGAGACACTGACCTTCCAAAATACTTCCTCTAGGTGGCAGCGCCAGGAATATCTCTGGAAGCATGCGATGAGTTGTGTGATGAAGATGGAGCCCCTTGTGCTGTCTCTCCTGGACACGTTATCTATGATGATACAGATGGGTATGCCTTGGGCTATGACCTTCACTATTTTTTGTTTACATTTTTGTTTTGAGGATTTTTTTTTAATAAAAGCATAGCTTGGGAATTATCTTTACAGATTTAGACGACATGTTTACAACCTTACATTTAACCACTTTCCGCATAAAGTCAACAAAAAACCTAGCAACAGTTGATCAAAAGGTGCAGTTTGTAAGCATTGCAAGAGATTGTGTAGTGATTGTATTTTGATTCTTGGGACTGACTTTCTACTACAAACATTGTGTTTATTCTCTTGGCTTTTATAGGGGCTTGAGAAATAACTGGAATTATCCCACTTTACAGAGGAAGGAATAGAGGCTCCAAAAGATGAAGAAACTCCCTCATATTACCACAGTGAGTAAGCAACAAAAAATGGCCACTAGGCTCCCAAGTTGTTTGCAGATTATGCCATGCTGTCTTTCACCATATAATAAACAAAATAGATGAACACACACCAAGTTTCAGTGATAGAAGATGAAAAAAGTGATAAAAATCTACTGTACAGGATGGTGCCAATAGTAACCAATACTGTATTGTAAACTTAAAATATGCTAAGAGGGTAGATTTTATGTTAAGTGTTATTTTCACATGCACTCGTGGAATTATAATAATAAACAGAGAAGTGGAAGGATCTTTTGGAGGAGAGAGATATATTTGTGGCACAGATTGTGGTGACGATTTCAGGAGTGCATACTTATCTGTAACTCATTAAGTTGTATACATTATATATGTAACATTATATATGTCAATCATACCTCAGTAAACTGGTTTTAAAAAATAAGACTTAAAAATATACAAATTAAAAATGGTTAAATGTATACTCCTTAAGATAATTACCTAGAAGTGAAATACTAACCAGTGTTCCCCAAGATTAGACGTAATGAGTCCCACCCTATCATCTTCTACTTGTTTTAAAGGGTATCCACAGTTCTAGTAGGGCATGCAATGGCACTGCTCATAGTGGAATCAGATGGGAAATATGGAGAATAAGACTTGAAATTGATCATTTGAGAAAGGGAAGCCATTCCTGGAATCCATGAAAACACTACACAAAACATTAAATGGGTTTGATAAATAACAGAATCCATCATTTGTGTTTAAATGGTGTGTGGTGAATGGGATTCCTTATGTTGTGTTGCTTTAATATTTGGTATGCCTTTGGCTTTAAATTGTAACACTTATAAGAAAAGTACAATTTTTAAAAACGTGGGTGTGGGAGGGGGAAGGAATCTGTTTTCACATCACATCTAAGATCATGTAAAATATGGGAGAGCACACAACATTCCCTCGGATCATTGTTTCTTAGGGATTCTTGATTTGGTAGAATCATTCAAAGGTAGCCTCAGGCCCACAAATCACTTAATACCACCAAAAGACGTATACATGAGGTTGAAGAGCAGAAAACAATGAAGTCCTTCTCTGGTATGTCTTGCAAACTGCATCCTCCAGGTTCTTAGGTGACTGTGAAGACATGACTCCCAAAGATGCTGGACAGTCTCTGACCCACTGTTCCCCATGGTTTGCTGCAGAGACAACAATTTTCTACACACTACTGTGCCTCCTACAGTATGGCTATCAGAATCCCCTTGTTCTTTTTTAATGTTCTTTCTAACTAGTTTCATACACATAGACCCATACACATACAAACACACAGACACACACACACAAACACACACACACACACACATACATACCACTTTGTTTTCTCTCAAGTGTCATTCAACAGTGTGCCTAGTGATAATGAAATCATCTTGTAGTTACCAGTTTTTAGAAAAATTATTTCTGTTTTCTCTTTCATTTGAAAAATAGCTCCCAAGAGCTATGAATCAATTGGTCTCAAAATCCTGGCTTCAAGTGTTCCTTCAGCTTTGGCCTGAAGGAAAGCAGCCCATCTGGGTTTGCCTCATCATGTTCAGTTCCACACATTCCCCCCAGGATGCCATGAGACATGAGCACCAAGAACGTGCTGTCGGAGGACTTGTGCTCTGGTCAGGCAGCAAATGCCCACAGCAATGACTTCATATTCTGGAAAAGAGCAATGTCTAACTTTAGTCGGAGAAGCATCACAATTAATGGGGCCTCCTAGATTTACCATGAGCGAAACAAGAAACATATGTAACATCTGGGTCATGGCGCTTCACATAGTGCTTACTCAGTGATGACAGCTGTTTTATGGTTTCATATTTCCTTCTTAATGGGGCTATGGGTTGCCATTTTCTTCTCTGGCTGACACACCGTCTTCTTTATATATTGTATATTTTTATATGTTACTCATTTCCCTTTTTCTTTTCCATCTCAATCTTTCTCCTTACCTACCAAGAGTCATGTGTTATAAATGCATCACACCACTTTCTTTGTAAAACCCATCCCAGTTTGCTTAGAATCAAATCAAACTTCTGGTCTGACCATACTCCACCCACATACTATGTCCCTTCTCCTCCAAACTTGAGTCATACTGGTCTTCTCTTTGTGCTTCTCATGTGCCAGTTTCATTTTCAGCTCAGCTCTTTCACAGGTAGCTTCTCGTACTTTGAAGGCACTGCATTCATGTCTCTCCAAGGTTGTCTCCTTCTGGTAGTCCAGTCCAACCCCTGTGTTATCTCCCCACGGAGGCTTTTTCAGCCAACCCAAGAACATTTTTCCTTACCCTACAATTCTCTGTCATGTTTCCTTTTTCTTTTTTCTTACTCTTGGCTTTCTTGTCACTCTTATGTAGACACACATATATGCACACCTGTTCTCTGAAGCTGTCCGTTTTGCTTATAACTTCACTGTTTCTCTCTACTGTAACCTAGATGGATGCCGACTGGGAACTTCCTGTCTCATTTACAGACCTACTCCCAATGCTAGGAATAGCTTTGGTCACCAATTTAGTACTCAATATTTGTTTTAAGACTGTACTCCTGTTTAACACTTATTACTATATAATTTTATGGAGAATCTTGGGGCTGCATCCCAATCACCAGACTTTGAATCTCAATCAGAAATGTGAAAACTCGTGCCAATCATATTTTGTCTAGTTTTATGGAATTGAGGACATTTGGAGCAAAAAAGAGACATAAATTTACCAATCTAATGCTTTCATTTTTTGCATCACACACACACACACACACACACACACACACACACACACAAGGTAGCAGAGATTGTTAAACTTTGTTGAGCTTCTATAAAGCTAACTAGTTATTAGAAGGATGCGTGTTCAATATGTATGAGTTTGGGGTGGCTGAGGGGTTGTTACCCTGGCTGTCAGATTCTCTTCTACATCCACACTGTAACCCAGATCCTCAAGCAGCTTCTTCATCTCCATGATGGCAAAGTCAGCCCCATTTCTTGGAGGCAGATGGTCAAACTCTTTATTGCATATGATGAGAACCAGGCGTATGCGGTCCTTTCTCTCCTTTATTGGATAGATCTGCAGGAGGTGGAGATGCAGTGAATTTAATTTATTCAGGTTTCTTTTCTACCCCCTTATGCCTATCAATGTTGCTTTTTTAAGTCTTCATGCAGCTGCTCTCTGCTGTAACTTGTATCAAAAGACATTGACTTCTTCTTTCTCAAGAACCCAGAGAAAGACAACGACATATCTGGAATGGTTATTCAATACTCTTGAGGAAACTAAAATAATGGCTACCCCTTTTCTCATCCCTTTTTTTCTACACCTACGCAAATCTTTCCTAGTATTTAAGATTCGGGTCAAATTTCATTAAAATCAAGAGATGTGGTCATTGGCTCCAGTAAAAAATGAATATAGCAAAGGTCTTTGCCTTTGGAAGCATAGTTATTTTGATACCATTTTTAACACATCAACTTGTAATGTTTTTCAAGCCTTAATTATATTTTCAAGTATCCTTCATGTCTAGACTTTTCAACTAGAGTGCAAACAGTTACTACTCAGCTGTATTATCTTATAAACATTTTTATTCCATGGCTAAAGTTACAATTGTCATAAATTCCAAATGATTACAAAAATAAATACTTGAGCCATAGGAAAACCAATTCTCTTTCAACCCATGATAAAATGATCTAGATCATGGGTTGAGAGAGAATTGGTGTCTGTGTGAAGTCACATAATCTTTTCCTCGCTGAAAACATTCATGAAATAGTTACTGCCATCCCCACCCCCAATCATTTAGTGCTGTAAAAAATGGTGCACTTAATGAAAGCAACGATTTCTCTTCTTTTTTTCTGTTTCATGCAGACAGTATAACACCTTTTCAGCTCTTTCTTTACATAGTCTCAGGAGTTATTCATGAGGGCAAAGCTTGAGGGCATCTGTAGATTCTCTTGCCTCAGGTGGTCCAACCTCCATATTCGAATGAGGTGGAGAATATTACATAATATAAGTTGTGATTTCTGCTTCTGTGACCCAATTTATCACCTAAGAAGATCGAGAGAGAAGATGTCCTGGGAAGAAGATTTCGTCACATGTAGGGGTTATAGTTATATCTCATATCTAGGAGATATTCTATATCGGGAGATGCATTGTTACTGGAAAAGAGAGAAAAGCAGATCCACCCAAAAATGCAATCATAGATTCTGATCATTCTGGGAAAAATATTTTGACGATGTTGGTGTTAAATTTGGCCTTTCCTTATACAGTCAAAAGAATTTGATTTTTCCAAATGTTTTACTCTAGGATAAAGGTTTTACTCATTTATTCATGTGGACTTTCTATTGTGTCTGTGCAAGAGTATACTGAGTAAGTAGTTGTCAGAGCGCTATCTACTACAAATTTAATGTGTGTTCCATTTCCAATACTCAATTTTTTACTATCGCATTTAAAAAGGAAAACTAAACAAATAAATTTAATTTTTATTACATATTTATTTAATATAACATATAGGAGGTATTATTTCAACATGTTTCATTAGCCACAAGCCAAGTGCTTCATAGCTACATGTTGCGAGTGGCTACCATACAGGATGGACAGCATTCCGTTTTGGATTAATAGTCCCCTCCTAACCCCCACTACACCTGCCGATCCATATATCTACCAATCCAAAGAATATTGAATCTTGTACATTCCAGGAATTATATTTTCAACAACCTTACTCTAAATTTTTAATGATTCTAAAAGAAGTGAACTTCTATTATCCCTATGCAAATTGTAAAGCCAACTATTTAATGGAAAAATGCTGCCTTGTAACCATAATGGTGTGTCCAAAAAGTTACCTAATATAAACTAACTTAATAAAAGGTTATATGTCCCACCCACTTATTATAAATAAAAAATGAATGCATATAATGCAATATAAATCATCATTATCATTATTATTTGCAAGTCACTGTACCAATGATTTTATAAATGTTAATATAGTAGACCCTCACAATCAGCCATTGGGATGGTTATTACATTCCCTATAGTATATTTATTATGTTATTATATATATTATATATTGTATTGTTATGATATATAATATTTTATCAATAATATATTATAACATATCACATTATATCTAATACATATTATATATTTATATATTATATTTAACTTAACAATTTTCTTTATATAACACATTAGGATTCACATCTTGTTTTTTTCACCATATTCTATATTGTTAAACATGACATGGCTTCAGTTGAAATAATTAATATATTTGAGCCTCCATCATGCCCAGTGCATTACTGAAATTTCACAAAAAAATTCATTTGAAATGTATATTAACTTATCTTACATGGAAATGGGAAGGTAGTAAGTAATTGATTCAAATAACATGAAAAGAACTAAGAATATATAGTATATGCGGAACAAGAATTGTAATGTAGGGGTTGAGAATCCAGAGCTCCCATTCTTAATTCATCAAGCTACATTGCCTGACTGTTGGTGAAGAGCTTCTTAAGAGAATGCAGACAAGATATTCAAGGGGCTCAGAAAAGATTAATACATTCCCACAGGTAAGATCACAAAGGCTTCTTAGAAGAGGTAGCAAAAATATTGGTTTTGCAATATCAGGTACAGATGTTGGAACAAAATATGAAGATTTGCAAACAGTAAGCAGATTAGTTTGTGGGATATCCAATCTGCCTGAGTTCTGGGTTTCTGTTCTATTTATTTGTGTGCTCAGTAAACTAATATAGTGTTGATTGAAAGAATGATATGTGAAGAAATATGATAATTAAAAATATGGAAGAGTTTACAGCACAACAAATGCCACATGTAGCAAACACACAGCTAACATCATACTCAAAGGTGAAAAGTTGAAAATCTTTTCTCCAACATCAGGAAGAAGACAAAGATACTCATGTTAACCACTTCTATTCAACATAGTACTGCTAGTCCTAGCCAAAGCAATTCGACAACAAAAAGAAATAAAAGGCATCAAAATTGGAAAGGAAGAGGTTTAATTCTGCCTGTTTAAAAAGAAATGGTTTTATATAGAGAAAACCTTAAAGGCTCCACCAAAAATTTTTTAGAACAAATAAACAAATTCAGTAAAATTGAAGAATACAAAATCAACATATAAAAATCTGTAGTGTTTCTATATAACAATAAACTATCTTTAAAAAATATAAGAACTTCCATTTAAAATAGCTACAAAAATAATTAGAAATACATTTAACAACGTGGGTGAAAAACATGCGCACTTAAAAATATAAAACTCGAAAGTTATCAACATAGTAAGACTCTGTCTCTACAAAAGAATTTAAAAAATTGGCTGGGCATGGTAGCAGGTGTCTATAGTCCTTGCTACTTGGAAGTCTGATGTGGGAGGATTGCTTAAGCCCAGGAGTTTGAGGTTACAGTGAGCTATAATTGTGACACTGCACTCTAGCCTTGGCTACAGAAAAATACCCTGTCTCAAAATTAACAACAATAACAAAAACCCCAAAACTATAAAACATTGATAGAAGAAATTGAAGAAGACACAAATAAATAGATATTTTGAGTTGATGTACTGCAAAAATTACCATTATTAACAAGTCCCTAATACCCAAAGAAATCTAAATATATAATGCAATCCCTATCAAAATTACAGTGGCACTTGTTATAAAAATAAAAACAAATCCTAAAATTTATATGAAATCACAAAAAACCATGAATAGACAAAGCAATCTTGAGTAAAGGGAAGAAAGCTGCAGACATCAACTACCTGACTTAAAAAAAAAATATATATATATATATATAGTACAAAGCTACAGTAAGTAAAATAGCACAAGAGTGGCATAGAAACAGACATAGACAGCAATGGAACAGGACAGCAAGCCCAAAAATAAACCCAATTATTTACATTCATTTAGACTTTTCTACAAAGGTTTCATAAACACACAATGAGGAAAGGACAAACTCTTCAATAAGTGATATTGGGAAAATTGGATAACCACATACAAAAGAATGAAATTGGATGCTTATGTCTCACCATACACAAAAATAAACTTAAAATGGGTTAACTATGTAAATGTAAGAATTGAAACTATTAGAAGAAAACAGAGGAGAATAGCTTCATGACGTTAGTCTAGACAATGATTTCTGGATATGATGCAGAAGTACAGGAAGCAAAAGCTAAAATACACAAATGAAATTAAATTACATCAAACTAAAAAAAGTTTTTTTGTTTTGTTTTGTTTTGTTTTTTGTTTTTTTGATACAGTGTCTTGCTCTGTCACCCAGGCTGGAGTGCAGTAGCACAGTCTCGGCTCACTGCAACCTCCATGTCCAGGGTTCAAGCGATTCTCTTGCCTCAGCCTCTGAAGCATATGAGACTACAGGCGCCTGCCACCTTGCCTGGCTAATTTTTGTATTTTTAGTAGAGACGGGGTTTCACCATGTTGGCCAGACTAGTCTTGAACCTCAGATGATCCGCCAGCCTCAGCCTCCCAAAGTGCTGGGATTACAGGTGTGAGCCGCTGTGTCCGGCCCAAACTAAAAAGCTTTTACGCAGCCAAAGAAACATCAAAAGATTAAAGAGATATCAACAGAATTGGGAAATTATTTGCAAACCATGCATCTGATAAGGAGTTAATATGGAAAATATAAGGAACACAAACAATTAATAGAAAACAAACTGATTTAAAAATAAAGGACCAGAAGAGCCATTTTTCAGAAGAAGATATAGAAACAATATGTATATGAAAAATGATCAGCCTCTGTAATCACCAGGAAAATTGAAACCACAATGTGATATCACTTCACACCTTTTAGAATGGCTACTATCAAAAAGACAAAAGATAACAAATGTTGGAGAGGTTATGGATAAAATAAACCCTTATACACTGTTGGTAAAATGCAATTTAGCATGGTCATTATGGAAAACTATACGGAGACTCCTCAGGAAGTTAAAAATAGAGCTAAACATATGATCCAGCAATCCCACTATTAAGCAGGTATTAAAAAAAATGGAAATCCGTGTTTCAAAGAGATATCTGAACTTCTATTTTCATTGCAGCATTATTCACAATAGCCAAGATCCAAAATCAATCTAAGTGTCTGTAGATGGACGAACAGATAAAGAAAATGTGGTTTATATACACAATGCAACATTATTCAGCTTTTAAAAGGAACTAAATCCTGTCATTTCTGACAGTATTGATGCACATGACGGACATTATGTTAAGTGAAATAAGCCAGACCAGGCAGCAAAAGACAAACACCACATGATCTCACTCGAATGTAGAATCTAAAAAAGTTAAACTTGTAAAAGCAGAAGGTAGAATGGTGGGTACCAGGGGAAGGTAGGGAGTTTGGGAGATGTAGGTAAAATTAAACAAAATTTCAATTAGATAAGAAGAATAAGTTAAAGAGATATATTGTGCAACAGGGTGACTTAAGTTAATAACAATGTATTGTATTCTTGACAATTATTTAAGAGAGTAAAATTTAAGTGTTCTAATCACAAAAAGATAAACATATGAGATAATCCATATGCTGATTAGATGAATTCAGGCATTCCAGAATATATACATACTGCAAAACATTATGTTATACATGGAAAATATATATACTCTTCATTTGTCAAAAACATAAAGAACTTATAATTTTAAAAAAATGTGGTCTGAGATCCTCATTTTATAATCTATACATTCTCATGCCATCAATTATAAGTTTAAAATAATAAATAAATCACTCTCAAATTTATAGATTGGACCTAGATGTAGATCTCGCTATTGAAACCCATACATGTGATAGACAATAAGACATCTCTTAACTATATCCCACAACCTCATTCAACTCAACTTTTACAGATGAACTGCTCATTTATTCATTTCCAGCATTCATTCCCTTTTCCATTTACTGGTAAATGCCTATACTCCAACTACAAGAAAGCAGCAAATCCTGCTGATATTAAACCTCTTCAGCCTTCCTTATGTCTTATTTCCAGTCTCAATTCACATTGCATTGATTTTATTTGCTAAACATTTTCAGATTCTGACCACTTCCCTCAATTCTAATTGTTCATTACTTCTATCCAGGCCAACATCCTTTCTTTCTTAATAAATAAGTTGATAAGAACCTTGTAAACTGATTTTCCTTTCTATTCTATTCTTCACAATGAAGAGTGTTCCAATATCTATATTTGACCATGAAACCTCTCAGCTCATTCTAATCTAGGCCTACTCATTCACCCTCATCTTCTGATACTGTTCTGACCTTGTGCCTTATATTCAAAACACTCTGCCCTTCATTTAATTTCTAGAAATCCTCTACATTGGGATCTCTGTATTTCTAGACCCCACCTTCTCATTCCTTCTTGTTTGTCTACTACTGTCTGTGTATCCTTCAAGTCTCAGATTAGACAGCACTTTTTTCATGGAATCCTGTCTGATTTTCTGAGGAGAGACAGTGTCAGAGTCACATGCCCACAGGGCATGTTGCTTCTCCTTAGGATAGCATATCTTTTTCCCTTTATTTGTGATTCCCAGCCTACTTTTCAGTATTCACTACTAGATTTTATGCTCTGTGAGGACAGGGACCATGATCTATGCCTGTGCTAATTTTGGCATTCGAGGGATATTTATTAATTATATTCTAAATCACCAGTCAAGCGAATGTAGGAAGAAATGAAAAAAAAAAATTAGGTGTGGCTCAACCCTTGTGGAATACTGTTTTCTATTAACAGCAAACCAGGTAAGTTCAATTACATTTAACAGACAAAAAGTGCACATTGGAAGTTTCAAGCAGAGGGAAGTCATATTCATTCTCCTATTCATTCAGGATTATTTAAGGAGCAGCAGCTCTTGAAACTGCTAGTATTGGGAGTACCATTTTGGAAACATGCTTACAGTCAAGAGGAAAGATTGACATGCAAATAAGTATAATGAAACACCTTTTAAGAATTTAAATATTGAGCAGATGCTCAAGAAAAGCATAAGCAAAGTGTGTCTCAGGTAGACGATAGCTGTCCAGATGAGGGATGGCTTGGCACTGAGACCTGAAGAACTGGTAGGAATTTGCCCCTTGGACAACTGGCGGCTGGTCTCCTGTCAAGGAGCAGTGTGAGAAGAAGCAAAAAGGCTTGAGGGTGTCTGATGTAACCAGAAAGTTAGGAGAGCTTGGCTTTAGAAGGAAAAGAAGTGTGCATCCGAGGCTGAAGTGGCAGTGATCAGAGACAGGGCAGGTATTTGAAGATATTTTCACAACCTCAGCATCACCCCACAACCTCAGCGGATATTTTCAGAAAATTAGAGTAGTGGCAGAGTTTGAGAGTCATGCCGACCTGAGATCACTCCTCTCAACTGACTTTTGACCTAAAGCATGCTCTGAAGGCATTCTCTCAGAATCCCCTTCAACTATAATATGGCAATAATAGCACAACTGTATTGCTTGGTTTAAAATATTAAATCAGAGAGACTGCATGAAATAGCTGTCATATGGTAAGTATTTTTTAAAGAAACCATTATTATATGTATTTTTTTGTTATTGTAATAATCACTGAATGAAAGCTGCAGTGATAGTAAAAATGGAGAGAATCAATTAGAGGAAACAACTCACCAGCACCACAGTTTTGATTCCAGGCAGTGATGTAATGCTTAAACACTTTAAAGGATACTCTTCCTCAGAAGTTTTAGTTAACAATAGCTGACTAAAGTTGGTTGTTTATAATTATCAAACCACAACTTGTTTTTGACTACTGGCTTTCAATTTCTACTGTCTATTTTTTAATGCCTTGATTCAAATCCAATGACCTGTAACATCAGCCTGCTTGGCTGAAGAGGTAGCCATGTTTATGAATTTGACTAACTGATGCCTAGCCAAATGCTTTATTAGTTTCATGAAGAAGACAAGTGAAGAAAACCACCAACCTCTATATTTTGGGAGCTTAAGTTAAATATTGTGAGGTGAAACATAAACCCCAGAGAGAATTATACTACAGGGAGAATCAAAGGAGAAAATAAACTCAACGACGAGGAAGTAGGAGTGAAGTAAATACAGTAATTGTTTTATGAAGCTGAAATCATACTTTACAGGGATTAATGGAAAAAAATGGATACACATATTTCAAAAGGTAGAAAAACTTGACTGAAAAATCATATTTTTAAAAACGCAATAGGGAGCAACCATATGTTCCTGAGCAAAAAGAATTACATTAATAGATCACTAGCAGGTAAGCAGAGACAGGTAACTAACTGACTGACTTTCCTAATAATACTAATCTGCAGAAAAACCTATTCCAGATCAGCTTTATAGGGATTATCTGCAGATATACAGAAATTAATAAATGTCTGCAGGCTATTTAAGATTGATCTATTCAGGGTAAGGAAATGGGTAGTCATCTAATTTTTTTTATGTGACTACACATTACTGTGATATAAGGTTTAGAATCCACTGATCTAGTCCCATTTATTTTTCAGTGAGGAGAATGAAGCCAAAGAAGCGATATGACCTGCTGGAATACTATCTGTCTAAATAGCTCATGACTCTATCCCTTAGGCTTTTTCAGCTTCTATGTATAAGACAGGAGACCTGAAAGTTGTGTGCAGGAAGAATTGGAAGGTTAAGTCCTGGAGAGAGGGAGATCAATTAACAACAAAACAAAATAAAACAACTGTGATAGCAACCAGTGAAATATTGCAGTAACGTAGTCAGTACAAGGACTAAAGAGAAAGGGAGAAAAATGGAATAACTTTAAACAGACCAAGAATGTAATTCACAATAAGAGATGGCAAAGAGGGTGACGACAACTCAGAAGCTCTCATATCTGATTCTGGGAGAAAGGTTTATAATCTGGGCAATAATTTGGAAACAATAGAAAACAGAGAAAATTTCAGAGTGCATTTGGAAACTTCTAGAATTTTCTCACACAAATAATAACTTCCTCTGCTTTCTTCACTCTCCCTTTGATTACCAGAAGCTGAAAGCAGGGAATTAACTTCTTTCTAGCTAGAAGACATCTGGAGAACATATTCTCTCCTTCAGTGTCTAATACTAGCTCCCGTGATTCAAACTACACACAACCAGTAAGAAAAAAGATTCAGCATGCACTCTATTGGCCCATTTCATGTTTTGTGTTCATTACACAGCAATAAATAAAGTATTTTCTAAGATCCCAGTCCCAAACTCCTATTCAGAAGAGGACTCACCTGCCATAGATAACAGCCTCCGTCCTTTCTTACAGCACTGAAAAAAGGCTCAGACTGAAAAATGAAAGTAAACTGTGTATGTACTTATTGCAAAGAATGGAAATATGTAATCACAGATTGAGAGACTGCTGCTTAGAAATTCTAGGCTCATTGTCAAGAAATTCCTTGTCATCAGCAAATTGGCATCCAAGTACTGGACTCTAGTTTCTTCCCGTGGGAAGAAACAAAGAATGGAAACGACCAACATTGTTATGTGCGTTGACACTTCAGCCTGTTTTTTTCCCTCCTTTTCCTTTTCCTGCTCTGTAGTCCCCACACCTTCTTCTATCCATCTGTCTCCTCTTTTTGATCGCTCAGTTTTTGTTTCTCTAATCACATAAAAACACAAATTCTGAAGGAGTTTAATCTAACAAGCCTCCTTTTATTTCCTCATAAGAATTAACCAGATAGTTTATATTTCCTGTTTAAACTGTGTTATTGGATCCTGAAGGTGCCTTCGCTTTTCTGTCTCATTGTTGTCTTAACCTTTGGTGGAAATAGTGCTGAAGAAACCCTCTTCTCTACTCCATGGCATGCTTTCCTTTAGCTACCTAATATGGCCATAATATTTAATTTTTACCAAAAGTGAAAGTTTACCTCTGCTTTTTGATATTCCCTGAACAAAGGCTGATTGTAGAAGCAGTCTCAGGCTGTAGTACAATTAATGTGTGATTGTACAAAAGAGAGATGCCCAGAAGAATAGTTAGTAAAAGGAGAAAGTAAAAGACAGTGAGGTGTTGAACTTTGAAAGTTTTCAAGAGGTCAGAAATTCATCTTACCTTTTTTGAGTTTAGGATTAGAAGAGGCTCATGATTACAACCCAACTGGTTGTTCTTCCAGTCCTTCAAAATCTTCACAGCACTGAGTGACTGATTTGACCCTAAACTCTTTTTCCTTGCACAATGCAGGTGATGCAGGTGCATAATTTTGCATTCAGTGCACTGTAGTGTTTCTTCATAGTTGTATGTTCTGTCTGCTAATACTTTTATGTTTGTTGACTGTCATACCTTCTCAAGGAGACTGAGCTATTAGGGATGAAAGCGTTAATCAAAATTTACTTTGTATTTCTCAATTCTCTTAGCTAAAGGTACAAATATGCAGATCTTGTTCATGGATTTTTCAATAGTAAGCTCTGGGATTTGGGAAAAAAGATCCCCTTTGCACACCATTCTGTCACTGTCATAACTGCCTTTCTTCTCCCCATCTCTCCTGCTAAGTTCTAAATTCTTTGAAGTCGGGTACCTGCTGTAATTTATATCTGTGTTCCTAAAGGAGAAAGCCCAGAAAATGGTTTATTAAAGAAAAAAAATGGTGCTATTAGCCAGTTCAGGTCTTATGAGTCAAGTCTAAAGACTAAATCCATAACCTTTTCTACATTCAGCTCCTGTTTTTTCAATGGGGTGAAAAACAACAACAAAAACAGGACACCCTTTTGTTTTTATATCAGACTTAATGGAATGCTTAAGTAAATGTTTGTTTTTTTAACAGACATGACTCTAAAAACAGGTGCACAATGAGGGAATTCCTGACTTCCTATGAGAAAAAAATAAACATTTAAAAAATGGCCCCACTAAAAGATATGCAAGTTATAAAGTCACACCACCAGTGGTAATATACACACTCTGAAAAGGAAAGTGTCCACGCTGTGTGTAAATATTCCCCTGCTGAAATTAGAGAGAAACACCTAAAAGTGAGCATTCATAATCTTATGGTCACCTCAAAAATAATCAACTGACCCACAGAAAGAGGGCACTAAGAACAGAACTTTGAGAGAAGAGCAATGTACACTGCACTGATCAGAAGGAAAATATTCCTTCAGTATTCACTGTTTATTATATTACAGGTAGAGTACTGCTATTCCAAAATGCTGAGAACAAAAAGTGTTTTGGATTTCAGAACTTTCTGAATTTTGGAATATCCACATTATAATTACCAGGTGATCATCCCAAATCCAAAAACCTGAAATCTGAAATTCTTCAATAAGCATTTTCTTTTTTTTAAAGAGGAAAATGGTTATTTATTGTTGTTGTTATTATTATTATTATTATTATTATTATTATACTTTAAGTTCTAGGGTACATGTGCACAACGTGCAGGCTTGATATATAGGTATATATGTGCCATGTTGGTTTGCTGCACCCATCAACTCTTCATTTACATTAGGTATTTCTCCTAATGCTATCCCTCCCCCAGCCCTCCACCTCCTGACAGGCCCCAGTGTGTGATGTTCCCTGCTCTGTGTGCAAGTGTTCTCATTGTTCAGTTGCCACCTATAAGTGAGAACATACGGTGTTTGGTTTTCTGTCCTTGTGATAGTTTGCTCAGAATGATGGTTTCCAGCTTAATCCATGTCCCTGCAAAGGCCACGAACCCATCATTTTTTATGGCTGCATAGTATTCCATGGTGTATACGTGCAACATTTTCTTAATCCAGTCTATCATTGATGGACATTTGGGTTGGTTCCAAGTCTTTGCTATTGTGAATAGTGCCACAATAAACATACGTGTGCATGTGTCTTTACAGTAACATGATACATAATCCTTTGGGTATACACCTGGTAAGGGGATTGCTGAGTCAAATGGTATTTCTAGTTCTAGATCCTTGAGGAATCGCCACACTGTCTTCCACAATGGTTGAACTAATTTACACTCCCACCAACAGTGTAAAAGTGTTCCTATTTCTCCACATACTCTCCAGCATCTGTTGTTTCCTGACGTTTTAATGATCACCATTCTAATTGGTGTGAGATGGTATCTCAAAGGGGTTTTGATTTGCATTTCTCTGATGATCAGTGATGATAAGCATTTTATGTTGTGTCTGTTGGCTGCAATAAACGGCTTCTTTTGAGAAGTGTCTGCTCATATCTTTAGCCCACTTTTTGATGGGTTTTTTTTTTCCTTGTTAATTTGTTTGAGTTCTTTGTAGATTCTGGATATTAGCCCTTTGTCAGATGGGTAGATTGCAAAAATTTTCTCCCATTCTATAGGTTGCCTGTTTACTCTGATGGTAGTTTATTTTGCCATGCAGAAGCTCTTTAGTTTAATTAGATCCCATTTGTCTATTTCGGCTTTCATTGCTATTGCTTTTGGTGTTTTAGTCATGAAGTCCTTGCCCTTGACTATGTCCTGAATGGTATTGCCTAGGTTTTCTTCTAGGGTTTTAATGGTTTTAGGACTAACATTAAATCTTTAATCCATCTTGAATTAATTTTTGTATAAGGTGTAAGGAAGAGATCCAGTTTCAGTTTTCTACATATGGCTAGCCAGTTTTCCCAGCACCATTTATTAAATAGGGAATCCTTTCCCCATTTCTTGTTTCTGTCAGGTTTGTCAAAGATCAGATGGTTATAGATGTGTGGTATTATTTCTGAGGGCTCTGTTCTGTTCCATCGGTGTATATATCTGTTTTGATACCAGAACCGTGCTGTTTTGGTTACTGTAGCCTTGTAGGATACTTTGAAATCAGGTAGCGTGATGCCTCCAGCTTTGTTCTTTTTGCTTAGGATTTTCTTGGCAATGTGGAATCTTTTTTAGTTCCATATGAACTTTAAAGTAGTTTTTTCCAATTCCGTGAAGAAAGTCATTGGTAGTTTAATGGGGATTGCATTGAATCTATAAATTATCTTGGGCAGTATGGCCATTTTCATGATATGGATTCTTCCTATCCATGAGCGTGGAATGTTCTTCCATTTGTTTGTGTCCTCTTTTATTTCGTTGAGCAGCTCCTTCACTTGAAGGAAGGTCCTTCACTTCCCTTGTAAGTTGGATCCCTAGGTATTTTATTCTCTTTGTAGCAATTGTGAATGGGAGTTCACTCATGATTTGGCTCTCTGTTTGTCTCTTATTGGTGTATAGGAATGCTTGTGATTTTTGCACATTGATTTTGTATCCTGAGACTTCGCTGAAGTTGCTTATCAGCTTAAGGAGATTTTGGGCTGAGACGATGAGGTTTCTAAATATACAATCATGTCATCTGAAAACAGAGACAATTTGACTTCCTCTTTTCCTAATTGAATACCTTTATTTCCTTCTCTTGCCTGATTGCCCTGGCCAGAACTTCCAACACTATGTTGAATAGTAGTGGTGAGAGAGGGCATCCCTGTCTTGTGCCAGTTTTCAAAGGGAATGCTTCCAGTTTTTGCCCATTCAGTATGATATTGGCTGTGGGTTTGTCATAAACAGCTCTTATTATTTTGAGATGTGTTCTATCAATACCTAGTTTATTCAGAGTTTTTAGCATGAAGGGGTGTTGAATTTTGTTGAAGGCCTTTTCTGCATCTATTGAGATAATCATGTGGTTTCTGTCAGTAGTTCTGTTTATGTGATGGATTACGTTTATTGATTTGCATGTGTTGAACTAGCCTTGCATCCCAGGGATGAAGCCGATTGAACATAGTGGATAAGCTTTTTGACGTGCTGCTGGATTCGTTTTGCCAGTATTTTACTGAGGATTTTCGCATCGATGTACATCAGGGATATTGGTCTAAAATTATCTTTTTTTGTTGTGTCTCTCCCAGGCTTTGGTATTAGGATGATGCTGGCCTCATAAAATGAGGTAGGGAGGATTCCCCCTTTTTCTATTGATTGGAAATTTTCAGAAGGAATAGTACCAGCTCCTCTTTGTACCTCTGGTAGAATTCGGCTGTGAATCTGTCTGGTCCTGGACTTTTTTTGGTTGGTAGGCTATTAATTATTGCCTCAATTTCAGAACCTGTTATTGGTCTATTCAGAGATTCAACTTCTTCCTGGTTTGGTCTTGGGAGGGTGTATGTGTCCAGGAATTTATCCATTTCTTCTAGATTTTCTAGTTTATTTGCATAGAGGTGTTTATAGTATTCTCTGATGGTAGTTTGTATTTCTGTGGGATCGGTGGTGATATCCCCTTTATCATTTTTTATTGCGTCTATTTGATTATTCTCTCCTTTCTTCTTTATTAGTCTTGCTAGTGGTCTATCAATTTGGTTGATCTTTTCAAAAAACCAGATCCTGGATTCAGTGATTTTTTGAAGGTTTTTTTTCTGTCTCTATCTCTTTCAGTTCTGCTCTGATCTTAGTTATTTCTTGCCTTCTGCTAGCTTTTGAATTTGTTGCTTCTCTAGTTCTTTTAATTGTGATGTTAGTGTGTTGATTTTAGATCTTTCCTGTTTTCTCTGTGGGCATTTAGTGCTATAAATTTCTCTCTATACACTGCTTTAAATGTGTCCCAGAGATTCTGGTACATTGTGTCTTTGTTCTCATTGGTTTCAAAGAGTGTCTTTATTTCTGCCTTCATTTAGTTATTTACCCAGTAGTCATTCAGGAGCAGGTTTTCAGTTTTTATGTGGTTGTGCAGTTTTGAGTGAACTTCTTAATCCTAAGATCTATTTTGATTACACTGTGGTCTGAGAGACAGTTTATTGCAATTTCTGTTCTTTTACATTTGCTGAGGAGTGCTTTACTTCCAATTATGTGGTCAATTTTAGAATAAGTGTGACGTAGTACTGAGAAGAATGTATATTCTGTTGATTTGGGGTGGAGAGTTCCATAGATGTCTATTAGGTCCACTTGGTGTAGAGCTGAGTTCAAGTCCTGGATATCCTTGTTAACCTTCTGTCTTGTTGATCTGTCTAATATTGACAGTGGGGTGTTAAAGTCTCCCATTATTATTGTGTGGGAGTCTAAGTCTCTTTGTAGGTCTCTAAGGACTTGCTTTTTGAATCTGGGTGCTCCTGTATTGGGTGCATATATATTTACAGTAGTTAACTCTTCTTGTTGAATTGATCCCTTTACCATTATGTAATGGCCTTCTTTGTCTCTTTTGATCTTTGTTTGTTTAAAGTCTGTTTTATCAGAGACTAGGATTGCAAACCCTGCTTTTTTTTTTTTTTTTTTTTTTTTTTTTTTGGCTTTCCATTTGCTTGGTAGATCTTCTTCCATTCCTTTATTTTGAGACTATGTGTGTCTCTGCACATGAGATGGGTCTCCTGAATACAGCACACTGATGGGTCTTGACTCTTTATCCAATTTGCCAGTCTGTGTCTTTTAATTGGGCCATTCAGCCCATTTACATTTAAGGTTAATATCGTTATGTGTGAATTTGATCCTGTCATTATGATGTTAGCTGGCTATTTTGCCCATTAATTGATGCAGTTGCTTCATAGTATCAATGGTCTTTACAATTTGGCATGTTTTTGCAGTAGCTGATACTGATTGTTTCTTTCCATGTTTAGTGCTTCCTTTAGGAGCTCTTGTAAGGCAGACCTCGTGGTGACAAAATCTCTCAGCATTTGCTTATCTGTAAAGAATTTTATTGCTCCTTTACTTATAAAGCTTAGTTTAGCTGGATATGAAATTCTGGGATGAAAATTCTTTTCTTTAAGAATGTGGAATATTGGCCCCTACTCTCTTCTGGCTTGTAGGGTTTCTGCCAAGAAATACACTGTTAGTCTGATGGGCTTCCCTTTGTGGGTAACTTGACCTTTCTCTCTGGCTGCCCTTAACATTTTTTCCTTCATTTCCACATTGGTGAATCTGACAATTATGTGTCTTGGGGTTGCTCTTCTCAAGGAGTATCTTTGTGGCATTCTCTACATTTCCTGAATTTGAATGTTGGCCTGCTTTGCTAGGTTGGTGAAGTTCTCCTAGATAATATCCTGAAGAGCGTTTTCCAACTTGGTTCCATTCTCCCCATCACTTTCAGGTACATGAATCAAATGTAGATTTGGTCTTTTCACATAGTCCCATATTTCTTAGAGGCTTTGTTTCTTTCTTTTTACTCTTTTTTCTCTAACCTTGTCTTCTTGCTTTATTTCATTAATTTGATCTTCAATCACTGATACCCTTTCTTCCACTTGATCAAACATAGTCCCATATTTCTTAGAGGCTTTGTTTCTTTCTTTTTACTCTTTTTTCTCTAACCTTGTCTTCTTGCTTTATTTCATTAATTTGATCTTCAATCACTGATACCCTTTCTTCCACTTGATCAAATCGGCTATTGAAGCTTATGCATGCCTCACGAAGTTCTTGTGCCATGGTTTTCAGCTCCATCAGGTCATTTAAGGTCTTCTCTACACTATTTATTCTAGTTAGCCATTTGTCTAACCTTTTTTCAAGGTTTTTAGCTTCCTTTTGATGGGTTCGAACGTGCTCCTTTAGCTCGGAGAAGGTTGTTATTACCGACCATCTGAAACCTAGTTCTGTCAACTTGTGAAAGTCATTCTCCATCCAGCTTTGTTCTGTTGCTGGCAAAGAGCTGCAATCCTTTGGAGGAGAAGAGGCGCTTTGGTTTTTAGAATTTTCAGCTTTCCTGCTCTGGCTTCTCCCCATCTTGGTGGTTTTATCTACCTCTGGTCTTTGATGTTGGTGACCTACAGATGGTGTTTTGGTGTAGATGTCCTTTTTGTTGATGTTGATGCTATTCCTCTCTGTCAGTCAGTTTTCCTTGTAACAGTCAGGTCCTTCAGCTGCAGATCTATTGGAGTTTGCTGGAGGTCCACTCCAGACCCTGTTTGCCTGGGTATCACCAGCGGAGGCTGCAGAACAGCAAATATTGTTGCCTGATCCTTCCTCTGGAAGCTTTGTCCCAGAGGAGCACCTGCCTATATGAAGTGTCTGTCGGCCCCTACTGGGAGGTGTCTCCCAGTTAGGCTACACAGGGGTCAGGGACCCACTTGAGGAGTCTGTGTGTCCATTCTCAGAGCTCAGACGCCATGCTGGGAGAATCACTGCTCTCTTCAGATCTGTCAACCAGGGATGTTTAAGTCTGCAGAAGTTGTCTGCTGCCTTTTGTTCAGCTATGTCCTCCCCACAGAGGTGGAGTCTATAGACCAGTAGGCCTTGCTGAGCTGTGCTGGGCTCTGTTCAGTTTGAGCTTCCTGGCTGCTTTGTTTACCTACTCAAGCCTCAGTAATGGTGGATGCCCCTCCCCCAGCCAGGCTTCCGCCTCGTAGTTCGATCTCAGACAGCTGTGCTAGTAGTGAGCAAGGCTCCATGGGCGTGGAACATACCAACCCAGGCACGGGAAAGAGTCTCCTGGTCTGCCGCTTGCTAAGATCATGGGAAAAACTCAGTATTTGGGTGGGAGTGTCCTGTTTTTCCAGGTACAGTCTGTCATGGCTTCCCTTGGCTAGGAAAGGGAAATCCCCTGAACTCTTGTGCTTGCCGGGTGAGGCGATGTCCTGCCCTGCTTCAGCTTGCCCTCTGTGGGCTGCACCCACTGTCCAACCTGTCCCAGTGAGATGAATCAGGTACCTCAGTTGGAAATGCAGAAGTCACCTGTCTTCTGCATCGATCACTCTGGGAGCTGCAGACTGGAGCTGTTCCTATTCAGCCATCTTCAATAAGCATTTTCTTTGAATATCATGTCAACACTAAAAAAGTTTTACTTTGCTCAACAAAATACTAGCAAACTGAATACAACAGCACTTCAAAAGGTAGTTCACCACAGTCCAGTGCTCTTCATTCCCCGAATGCAAGGTTAATTCAGCATACACAAGTCAATAAATAAGATTCACCACATAAACAGGATTTAAAACAAAAACCAGACACAGAAAAAGCTGCTGATAAAATCCAATATCCCTTCATGATAAAAACTGTTAACAAATTAGGCAGCAAAGAACATATATCAAAATAATAAGAGCCATCTAGGTGGGCAGGGCCAAGATGGCCAACTAGAAGCAGCAGCAAATCAGAGGCTCACATAGAAAAGAGCCATATTATCATGTGAATCCTTCAACAGCAACCAAGGTATCCAGGTTCTCTCATCAGAACTGACTAGGTGGCTGGCGGGATTCCCAGAGAGGAAGGAAGACCAATGTGGTCTGGCAGGCTACCTGAGAGCCACAAGGGGCAGGGGAGCCCCACATCCCAGCCAAGGGAGGTGGTGAGTGAGCATGCTACACAGCCAGGGTAACCATGTTTTTTCCATGGACCTGCGCAACGCATGGGTCAAAAGATCTCACTCATGAACTCATGCCACCAGGGCCTAGGGTCCCAAACCTGGAGCGGGCAGATTTTCAAAGCCTCTCAGCTAGAATCAACTTAAGCTTGCCTAGTTTCCAGCGGGAGGGGCGACTAGCACCACAGCTGTGGCTGCCTGCTATCTAAGCCATTTGAATTCCTTGGGGGAGGGTCGGCAGCCAGCACTGAGACTCATAACTGCCTAACATGCTCAGCTCCCTAGGCAGGGGAAGGACCACATCTATCTCTATAGCTCCAGGCCATGCTTTTCCCCCCGCTGGAGCCAGGGAGGCTGGACAGCTTAGTCCCAATAGGTGTCTCCCACAGCCCCACACACCAGCTGTGGCAGACTGTGGACAGAGTGCCTCTTCAGGGCTTACCCTGACCCATCCCACCTCACTGGGAGGGGCCTCCCTGCAAGAACTCCAACAACTCCAGCTAGAGGCTCAGGGACAGAACCCTGATCTCCCTGAGCCTGAGCCCCTAGGGGGAAGGCTGGCTGCAGTCTCCGTGGACCAGCAGACTTAGCCTTTTTTACTGGTAGTTCTGAGGAATCCAGGCAGCCCAGATGAGTCGGTTCCCCCCAGCAAAGCAGACTCCCTCCACCAAAAGACAGTCAAAGTGCTTTGTTAAATGGGTCCTATTCCCTGTGCTACCCAACAGGGTGAGACCCTCCATCAGGGTGAGACTCTCCAACACTTTATACAGGAGCAATCCTACGGTTATCAGGTTGTTGCCCCTCAAGGTCAGAAGATCCCAGAAGAAGGAACAGGCACCCATCTTTGCTGTTCTCCAGCCTCCTTGAGTGACATCATCAGGTGTGGGGACAAACTAGATGAATAGGTCCCAAACCCCCAGCAAATCACAGCAGCCCTACAGAAGAAGGACCTGACCATTGAAAGAAAAACAAACAAATAGCAGAAAGCAACAACAACAGCATCAACAAGAAAAACAGAAGTCTCCACAAAAACCATATCCAAGGGTCAGCAGCCTCAAAGATTGAAACTAGATAAACTCATGAAGATGAGAAATAATCAATGAAAAAATGCTGAAAACGCAAAAGGTCAAAGTGCCTCTTCTCCTCCAAATGATTGTAGTGCCTCTCCAGCAAGGGCACAGAACTGGATGGAAGATAAGATGGTCAAATTGACAGCAGTAAGCTTCAGAAGGTAGGTAACATAAAACTCTGCCGAGGTAAATGAACATGTTCTAACCCAATGCAAAGAAGCTAAGAATCTTGATAAAAGGTTAGAGGAGCTGCTAACTAGAATAACCAGTTTAGAGAGGAACATAAATGACCTGATGGAGCTGAAAAACAGCACGAAAACTTCGTGAACAATACACAAGTATCAATAGCTGAATTGACCTAGAAGAAGAAAGGTTATCAGAGTTTGAAAACTACCTTGCTGAAATAAGGCATCCAGACAATATTAGAGGAAAAAAAAATGAAAAGGAATGAACAAAGCCTCCAAGAAATATGGGACCAAGTAAAAAGACCAAGCCTATGATTGAGTGGAGTACCTGAAGGAGACGAGAAGAATGGAAACATGCTAGAAAATATACTTCAGGATATTATCCAGGAGAACTTCCCTAATCTAACAAGACAGGCCAGCACACAAATTCAGGAAATACAGGGAACACCATTAAGATACTCCATGAGAAGATCAACCCCAAGACACATAATCATCAGATTCTCCAAGGTCGAAATGAAAGAAAAAATGTTAAGGGCAGCTAGAGAAAAAGGCCAGCCAACCTACCAAGGGAAGCCCATCAGACTAACAGCAGACCTCTCAGCAGAAACTCTACCAGCCAGAAGAGATTAGAGGCAAATATTCAATATTCTTAAAGAAAAGAATTTTCAACCCAGAATTTCTTATCTAGCCAAACTAAGCTTCATAATCCTTTCCAGACAAGCAAATGCTGAGGGATTTCTTCACCACCAGGCCTGCCTTAAAACAGCTTATGAAGGAAGCACTAAATATGGAAAGTAAAAACCAGTACCAGTCACTGCAAAAAGCACAGCAAATTATAAAGAACAATGACACTATGAAGAAAGTGCACCAACTAGTTTGCAAAATAGCCAGATAGCATCATGATGACAGGATCAAATTCACACATAACAATAATAACCTTAAATGTAAATGGGCTAAATGCCCCAATTAAAAGACACCGAATGGCAAATTGGATAAAGGGTCAAGACCCATTGGTGTGCTGTATTCAGGAGACCCATCTCACATGCAAAGATACACATAGGCTCAGAATAAAGGGATGGAAGAAAATTTATCAAGCAAATGGAAAGCAAAAAACAAACAAACAAAAAACAAAAAGCAGGGGTTGCAATGCTAGTCTCTGATAAAACAGACTTTAAACCAACAAAGATCAAAAGAGACAAAGAAGGACATTACACAGTAGTAAATGGATCAATTCAACAAGAAGAGCTAACTATCCTAAATATATATGCACCCAATACAGGAGCACCCAGATTCATAAAACAAGTTCTTAAAGACCTACAAAGAGACTTAGACTCCCACACAGTAATAGTGGGAGATTTTAACACTCCATTGTCAATATTAGACAAATCAACAAGATAGAAAATCAACAAGGATATTCAGGACTTGAACTCAGCTCTGGATTAAATGGACCTAATAGACATCTGTAGAACTCTTCACCCCAAATCCACAGAATATACATTATTTTCAGCACCACATGGCATTTATTCTAAAATCAACCATATAATTGGAAGTAAAATACTCCTCAGCAAATGCAAAAGAGTGGAAATCTAACAAACAGTCTCTCAGACCACAGTGCAATCAAATTAGAACTCAGGATTAAGACATTCACTCTAAACCACACAATTTCATGGAAACTGAACAACCTGCTCCTGAATGGCTCCTAGGTAAATAATGAAATTAGGGGAGAAACAAGAAGTCCTTTGAAACTAATGAGGACAAAGAGACAGCATATCAGAATCTCTGGGAAACAGCTAAAGCAGTGTTAACAGGAAAATTTGTAGCACTAAATATCCATGTCAGAATTCTAGAAAGATCTGAAAATGACTGCATAATAGCACAATTAAAAGAGCTAGAGAGGCGAGAGCAAACTAATCCAAAAGTTAGCAGAAGACTAGAAATAACTAAGACCAGAGCAGAATTGAAGGAGATAGAGACATGAAAAATCTTCCCCAAAGTCAATGAATCCAGGAGCTAGTTCTTTTGAAAAAAATAACAAAATAGACCACTAGCTGGAAGAATAAAGAAGAAAATAGAGAAGAATCAAATAGACACAATAAAAAATGTTAAAAGGGATATCACCACTGACCCCACAGACATACAAAGTACCATCAGAGAATACTATAAACACCTCTATGCAAATAAACTAGAATCAAGAAGAAATGAATAAATTTCTGGACTCATACACTCTCACAAGACTAAACCAGAAAGAAGTCGAATTCCAGAATAGACCAATAACAAGTTCTGAAATTGAGGCAGTAATCAATAGCCTACCAACCAAAAAAAAGCCCAGGACCAGACGGATTCACAACCTAATTCTACCAGAGGTACAAAGAAAAGCTGGTAACATTCCTTCCGAAACTATTGCAAAAAGAGGGACTCTTCCCTAACTCACTTTATAAAGCCAGTATCATCCTGATACCAAAACCTGACAGAGACACAACAAAAAAAGAAAACTTCAGGCTAATATCCCTGATGAACATCAATGCAAAAATCCTCAATAAAATACTGGTAAGCCAAATCAAGTAGCATATAAAAAAATGTATCCACCATATCAAGTCAACTTCATCCTTGAGATGCAAAGCTTGTTCAACCTATGTGAATCAATAAATTAAATCCATCACATAAACAGAAACAAAGACAAAAAACACATGATTATCTCAATAGATGCAGAAATAGCCTTCAACAAAATTCAACATCCCTTTATTTTAAAAACTGTCAATAAAGTAGGTATTGATGGAACATATCTCAAAATAATAAGAGCTATTCATGACTAACCCACAGCCAGTATCATATTAAATGGGCAAAAGCTGGAAGAATTACCACTGAAAACTGGTACAAGGAAAGGATGCCCTCTCTCACCACTCCAATTCAACATAGTATTGGAAGTTCTGGCAAGTGCAGTCAGGCAAGAGAAAAAAATAAAGATATTCAAATAGGGAGACAGAAAGTCAAATTATCTCTGTTTGCAAATCACATGATTCTATATTTAGAAAAACGCATCATCTCAGCCCCAAAACTCCTTAAGCTGATAAGCAACTTCAACAAAGTCTCAGGATACAAAAACCAATGTGGAAAAATCATAAACATTCCTTTACACCAACAGTATACAAGCAGAGAGCAAAATTGTGAATGAACTCCCATTCACAACTGCTACAAAAAGAATAAAATACCTAGGAATAAAGCTAACTAGGGATGTTCAGGACCTCTTCAAGGAGAACTACAAACCCCTGCTCAAGAAAATCAGAGAAGACAGAAACAAATGGAAAAACATTTCATCTTCATGGATAGGAAGAATCACTATTGTGAAAATTGCCATACTACCCAAAGTAATTTATAGATTCAGTGCAATTTCCATCAAACTACCATTGACATTCTTCACAGAATTAGAAAAATACTACTTTAATTTCATATGGAATCAAAGAAGACCCGTATAGCCAAGACAATCCTAAGCAAAAAGAACAAAGCTGGAGGCATCATGCTACCTGAATTCAAACTATCCTATAAGACTACAGTAACCAAAACAGCATGGTACTCATACCATAAAAGATTTATAGACCACTGCAACAGAACAGAGACCTCAGAAATAATACCACACATCTACAATCATCTGATCTTCTACAAACCTCATAAAAACAAGGAATGGGGAAAAGATCTCCTGTTCAGTAAATGGTTCTGGGAAAACTGGCTAGCCATATGCAGAAAACTGAAACTGGACCTGTCCCTTACCCTTTATACAAAAATTAACTCAATATGGATTAAAGGCTTAAATGTAATACCCAAAACCATAAAGACCTTAGAAGAAAACCTAGGCAATATCATTCAGGACATAGACACGGGCAAAGACTTCATGCTGCAAATGCCAAAAAAACAATTGCAACAAAAGCCAAAATTGACAAATGGGATCTAATTACACTAAAGAGCTTCTGCACAGCAACAGAAACTATCAACAGAGTGAACAGGCAAACTACAGAACTGGAGAAAATTTTTGCAATTTACCCACCTGAGAAAGGTCTAATATCCAGAATTTACAAGGAACTTACACAAATTTACAAGGAAAAAACCAAACAACCCCATCAAAAAGTGAGCAAAAAATATAAACAGACACTTCTCAAAAGAAGACATTTATGCAGCCAACAAGCATGAAAAAAAACTCAACATCACTGATCATTAGAGAAATACAAATCAAAACCACAATGAGATACAATCTCATGCCAGTCAGAAAGGCGATTATTAAAAAGTCAAGAAACAATAGATGCTGGTGAGGCTGTGGAGAAATAGGAACGCTTTTCCAGTGGGAATGTAAATTAGTTCAACCATTGTGGAGGACAGTATGGCAATTCCTCAAGGATCTGGAGGCAGAAATACCATTTGACCAGGCAATCCCATTACTGGGTATATACCCAAATGAATATAAATCAATCTACTATAAAGACATATGCACACATATGTTTATTGCAGCACTATTTATGATAGCAAAGTCATGGAACCAACCCAAAATGCTCAGCAATGATAGACTGGATAAAGAAAATGTGGTACACATACACCGTGGAATACTATGCAGCCATAAAAAGGAATGAGATCATGCCCTTTACATGGATGAAGCTGAAAGTCATTGTCCTCAGCAAACTAAAACAAGAACAGAAAACCAAACACTGCATGTTCTCAATCAAAAGTGGAAGTTGAACAATGAGAACACATGGACACAGGGAGGGGAACAACACACACCAGGGCCTTTTGGGGCATGAAGGGGAAAGGGAGAGAACATAGAAGACAAGTCAATATGTGCAGCAAACCACTATGGTACATGTATACCTATGTAACAAAACTGCATGTACTGTACATGTACCCGAGAACTTAAAGTAAAATTTTAAAACAGCCCTCTGGCCGGGCGCGGTGGCTCACTCCTGTAATCCCAGCACTTTGGGAGGCCGAGGCAGGTGGATCACGAGGTCAGGAGATCGAGACCATCTTGGCTAACACGGTGAAACCCCATCTCTACTAAAAATACAAAAAATTAGTCGGGCGCGGTGGCGGATGCCTGTAGTCCCAGCTACTCGAGAGGCTGAGGCAGGAGAATGGAGTGAACCCGGGAGGTGGAGCTTGCAGTGAGCCGCGATAGCGCCACTGCAGTCCGACCTGGGCGAAAGAGCGAGACTCCGTCTCAAAAAAAAGAAAAAAAGAGCCCTCTATGACAAACTCATAA
This sequence comes from Homo sapiens, assembly GCF_000001405.40. NCBI lineage: Eukaryota > Metazoa > Chordata > Mammalia > Primates > Hominidae > Homo > Homo sapiens. The sequence continues at coordinate 104,933,524 of NC_000011.10, forward strand.
CCAAATTCATAGCCAATCATAGTGAATGGGGAAAAGGTGGAAGCATTCCTTCTGAAAACCAGCACAAGACAAGGATGCCTTCTCTCACTACAGCTATTCCACATAGAACTGGAAGTCCTAGCCAGAGTGATCAGGCAACAGAAGAAAATAAAAGGCATCCAAATAGGAAAAGAAGAAGTCAAACTATCCTCCAGTATACAAAATTTGGTAGCATGCATGTAATGTATCTTTATAATAGAATGATTTATATTCCTTTGGGTATATATACCCAGTAATCATCCATACTATTCTTTACATGTGGTATTTTCATCTGGTTCTGATACCAAGATAATATTAGTCTCATAAAGTAAATTGAGAAGTGTTTTCTCCTCTTATAATTTTTGTGAAAATAAAAGTCAAAACATAATGAATGGTGGCAAGGCTGTGAAGAAAAAGGAATGCTGTCCAGCACGATGGCTCATGCCTGTAATCCCAGCACTTTGAGAGGCTGAGGCAGGTGGATCACTTGAGGTCAGGAGTGCAAGACCAGCCTGGCCAACATGGTGAAACCCCATCTCTACTAAAAATACAAAATTTAGCCGGGTGTGGTGACACATGCCTGTAGACCCAGCTACCCAGGAGGCTGAGGCAGGATAATCACTTGAACCTGGGAGATGGAGGTTGCAGTGAGCCGAGATTGCGCCACTGCATTCCAGCCTGTGTGAGAGAGTAAGACTCCATCTCAAAAATAAATAAATAAATAAATAAATAAATAAATAAATAAATAAATAAGGAATGCCTATACATTGTTGGTGGGAACATAAATTAATTCAGCTAATGTGGAAAGTAGTTTGGAGATTTTTATATCCAAAGAAATATAAATCATTCTATTATAAAGATACATGCAAGCATATGTTCATTGCAGCACTATTCACACTAGCAAAGACATGGAATCAACCCAAATGCCCATCAATAATAGAATGGATAAAGAAAAGGTGGTACATATACACCATGGAATACTTTCAGCCCTAAACAGGAATGAGATCATGTTCTTTGCAGGGACATGGACGTGGGTGGAGCTGGAAGTCATTATCCTCAGCAAACTAATGCAGGAACAACCAACCAAAAACGGTATGTTCTCACTTGTAAGTGGGATCTGAACAATAAGAACACATGGACAACAGGGAGGGAAACAAGACACATTGGGGCTTGTGAGGGGCTCAGGGGAAGGGATAGCATCAGGAAGAATAGCTAGTGGATGCTGGGCTTAATACCTATGTGATGGGTTGATCTCAGCAGGAAACCACCATTTCCTTTGTAACAAATGTGAACATCCTGCACATGTACCCCAGAACTTAAAATAGCTTGAAAAAAAAAAAAAAAGAACTTAAAACAGAACTGCCAGGGAAGCCAAAAATACTTCCAAACTCACTCTACAAGTACAGCATTACTCTGATACCAAAACCAAACCAAGATACATTAAAAAAAAGAAAGAAAACTATTGGCCAATATGATTGATGAATATTGATGCAAATACTAGCAAACAAAATTCAACAACACATTAAAAAATTGTTCATCATGACCAAGTCAGATTTATCCTAGGGATGCAAAAATGCTTCAACATATGCAAATCAATGTAATGTAACACACTGTATCAACAGAAGAAAGAACGAAAAACATATAATCATTTCAACTGATTCTGAAAAATCAATTGACAAGATTAAAAATGCCGTCATCATGAAAATTCTCAAAAAAAACAGGTAAAGAAGAAACACTTCAGCATAATAAAAACCATATACAACAGACCCACACATAGTATTATACTGAGTCTGGAAAAACTGAAAACCTCTCCTCTAAGATCAGAAACATGGCAAGGATGCCCACTTTCAACACTGTTATTCAACATAGCGTTGGAAGTTCTAGGAAGAGCAATTAGACAAGATAAAGAAATAAAGGGCATCCAGATGGGAGAGGAAAAACTCAAATTATCCTTGTTTGCATATTATGTGTTCTTATATTTGGAAAAACCTGAAGACTCCACCAAAAAACTATAATAGCTGATAGACAAATTCAGTAAGATTGCAGGATACAAAAATCAATCTACAAAAATTGGTAGCATTTCTATCTGCCAATGGTAAACAATATGAAAAAGAAATTTAAAAATTTCATTTACAATAGCTACAAATAAAATTAAATACCTAGGAATTACGTTAACCAAAGAAGTAGAAGACCCTCACAATGAAAACTATAAAACATCAATGCAATAAATTAAAGAGGATGTGAAAAAAATGTAAAAATTCCTTGTTCGTGGGTTGGAAGAATCAATATTTTTAATATGTTCGTACTACCCAAAGCAATCTCCAGATTCAATGCAGTCCTTATCAAGATACCATTGACATTCTTCACAGAATCAAAAAAAAATTCTAAAATGTGTATGAAACCACAAAAGACCTGAAATAGCCAAAGCTATCTTGAGCAAAAATAACAAAACTGTAGGAATCACAATACCTGACTTTAAATTACACTGTAGTTATCAAAATGTCGTAGTACTGGCATAAAAACCGACATGTAAATAAATGGAACAGATTACAAAACTCAGAGATAAATTCATACATCCACAGTGAACTCATTTTTGACAATGGTGCCAAGAATATTCATACGTTGGTGAGAGGACAGTCTCCTCAATAAATGGTGCTGAAAAATGAAACTAGATATCCATGTGAAAAAGAATGAACCTAGACCCCCAACTCTTGCCATATACAAAAATCAAATCAAAATGAATCAGAGACTTAAACACCTCAAACTATGGAACTATAACAAAAAATGGAGAAACTCCCCAGTCCTTTGGACTGGGCAAAGATTTTTTGAGTAACACTACGGAAGCATAGACAACCAAAGCAAAAATGGACAAATGGAATTATATCAAGTTAAATACCTTCTGCACAGCAAAGGAAACAATCAACAATGTAAAGACAAAACCCACAGAATGGGCAAAAAATTTGCAAACTATTCATCTGACAAGGGATTAAAAACCAGAATATATAAGGAGCTAAAACAACTCTATAGGAGAAAATTTTAATAATCTGATTTAAAAATGGGCAAAAGTTCTGAATAGCCATTTCTTAAAAGAAGACATACAAATGGCAAACAGGTACATGAAAAGGCGCACAACATTAGAGAAATGCAAATCAAAACTACAATAAGGTATTATCTCATGCTAGCTAAAATGGCTTTTATCTGATAGGGAATACAAGTGCTAGCGAGGATGTGGAAAAAGGGAACCCTCATACACTGTTGGGGATAATGTAAGTTAGTACAACCACTATAAAGAACAGTTTAGAGGTTCTTTAGAAAACTAAAAATAAGCTGCCATGTGATCTAGCAATTCCACTGCTGGGCATACACTCAAAAGAAAGGAAATCAGTATATCAAAGAGATATCTGCATTCCTATGAATATTGCAGCACTATTCACAATAGCCAAGATTTGGAAGCCAACTAAGTGTTCATGAACAGATAAATGAATAAAGAAAATGTGGTACTTATTCATAGTGGAATACTATTCAGCCATAAAAAAAATGAGATTCAGTCATTGGCAACAACATGGATAGAACTAGAAGTCATTAGGTTAAGTAAAATATGTGAGGCACCGAAGGACTAAGATCACGTGTTCTCACTTATTTGTAGGAACTGAAAATTAAAATAATTGAACTCAGTGAAATATAGAGAAGAAGAATGGTTACCAGAGGCTAGGAAGCATACTGTGGGGTGCAGGGAAATTGGGGAGGGTTATTTCCCCCAAAAACTGTTAAAAAGAAGGATTAAGACCTAGTATTTTCTAGCAAAACAGGGTGACTAAAGTCAATAATAATTTAATTGTACATTTAAAAATAACTAAAAGAGCATAACTGAATTATTTGTAATACAAAAGAGAAATACTTGAGGTATGGATGCCTCACTTTTCACAATGTAATTATTATGTATTGCATGCCTGTATCAACATATCTCATGTAACCCATAAATATGTTATGTGTATACACATAAATATATACCTAAAATTGAAAATTAAAGAAAGAGAGAAAAAACAAACTGGACTATCATTTAATCTAGGAATCCTCTTATGGAACATATATCCAAAAGAAAATAACTCATTCTTTCAAAAAGACACATGCACTCATATATTCATCACAGCACTATTCATAATAGCAAAGACAGTGAATCAATCTAGGTGTCATTAAGGGTGGATTGGATAAGAAAATGTGGTGCATATACGACATGGAATACTACACAGTTATAAAAAGAACGAAATCATATCCTTTGGAGTGGCATGAATGCTTCTGGAGGACATTATCCTAAGCAAATTTACTCAGAAACAGAAAACCAAATACTGTGTATTCTCATTTATAAGTGGGAGCTAAACGCTAGGTACACGTGGATAGAAAGATGGGAAACAATGGACACTGGGTTCTACTAGAGGAAGGAAGGAGATAGAAAGACAAGGGTTGAAAAACTACCTATTGTGTACTATGCTCACGACTTGGATGACAGGACCAATTGTCACCAAAACCCCAGCATCATGCAATATTCTTAGGTCACAAAAGTGCACATGTACCTCTTAATGTAACTTTTCAATTTAAAAATGTGGGAGGTAATGGGAAAAAATTTAGGTTTGGGAGAATTTTGGATTTTGAATTTTTGGATGAGGAATAACCACATTTAGGGCTAGATACCTTGACCAGAATGGAGTTTCAGTACTCCTCTCCAACCTCTTCAACCCCGCAACACACATACACATCGGCCCACAGGCATTCATACAGCCTACTTCTTTTAATGTCCTAGGAAGAGATAAAAACATCTTGTCAATGTCACTCAGTGATGAGCATCTGTGCCCTATAATCTGGAAGCTCAAATGAAAATCAGACCTAAAAAGAGAAAGTCTGTAGACCTTTGCTCTGATGTAGAATCTTTAGCCAGAAAAACTGCGACAAATACAGCGAAATGAATAACAAAAATAAAAAAGTACTTTCACCTGCAACAAGCATAGCAACATGCATATCTAAGCATTGAATGACCCTCCCCGGGGTTTTTAAAATCTGCTCTGGATCTGATAGCCATGAAGGATACAGGTAAATTCGAGTCCATTCATTCCATCTCTTCAGGGCAGGCCAGATCTGCTTTCTATGTTTCCAACTGCAATAGTCTAGCATCCAGGGTAGTCAAGTGGTAGAAGCATCTTTAGCCCACCTTTCAGAAAATATCCTCCTTTTCACTGGATAAGGGATATTCTTGCCAATGTTTGATAAGTGTCAGAGTAAAAAGCCACTTGTGAAATGTTGGCAAGAAACATCTGTGAATAAACCACCTCACAAATCCCAAGACTGGCTCTTGCCTGAAGAAAAAGAAGAAATATTGTTTTTTTTCTAAGTCAGCTAAGGCATGCAATGGAATTCACTTTGTTTTCTATACACTGGATTATATTTCTAGTGAATATATTCAAAATTCAGTGAGTATATTGTTACTGATATTTGACAAGTGTGCTGTATGTGGTGCAGATATTAGAGCAGCGTATTCCCTGAGTTCAAGAAGTCATCAATTTAGTAGAGAGTAAGAGAAAGGTAAAATGGGGCAGAGGAAAGTGACTGGTCCATGGAAAAGACATACCTATATGTGCATTTCAAGAGTGATATTTACTAACTGATTTAAGTTAATCATGAGCTCTGAAATGCAATTGCCTCATCTATAAAGGGGAGGATAATAATTCATACACAAAAGATATCTGAAGCATCACAAGTGTATGGAATAATATAGGATATGTAATACTCAATCTCTACAGTATAATTCTATTAATAGCTTCTCAATTTATCAACTTCAAAAATAATTTTAATTAGAATTAAACAATATTCACCAAAAATATTTACACAAAATTTTAACTAAATACAAAAATGGTACAACAGAACAAAAGTGAAAATCTAGAAAGGGTTGATTACGGAAGAAATACATAATATTGGAGGAAAAAAGTTCTTATGGACAACAGAAATATTGAAGAAGAATTAATTTATTACATAGTTGACACAGAAGTAATGAAGACATATAAATATTATACAAAGGAAGGTGTGAGGGAAAAATAATGGAAATAGCTCTGTATATAACCATGGACACTTTCTTTAATCCAATCTTTTAGTCAATGGTAATGGTAATAAAATATATTGAATAATAAATTAAAATTCTATATAGAACCATGTCTATCACAATTAAAGGAAGGTTTTTAACTAAGTCTTGTTCCAGTTAAATAAAGTAGGTAAGAGATGAGATGGAGACAGGTGTCTCTGCAAATATTTTGTGAAATTAAGGAAGTAGATGGTTATTTTTCTTCAGGAGAGCACCATGATATGATTGGAATTTACACAGTGGAATGTGGAGCTAGGTGTAATATTGGAGTCATAGATAACTAAATTGGAGTTTCTGATAGTCATCTGGAAAGGAGGAGTAAAAAGTAGTGAAAGAAAAGAAAGAGACAGAAACCAGCAAGACTGATGTTGAGAAAACAGTGGACCGACAAAGGGCTGCAAAGACAGAGGCAAAAGTCATGCAGAAGGCTGGGATCAAATGATTTTAAAGAACAATTCCATCTAATATTAAAGTCTACTAATTACACTGAAGCTAGAAATGTTTGGGTCTTTTGTGTGGTATCATCGTTTTTGATCATGGAAAAAGTTAATTCTACCTTAGGATATGGTCAGCACAATGTGGAACCAGTCTGTCTCCTGAGGGAGGGCATCTCATTATAGACAATATGTAATTTAACTATATGAGCAGAGCCAAGACCTTCAGGCCATAGGTGACCAAGAGAATGCAAGTCCCAGGAAACTGCCAAACATGGTGAATGAAAAGATTCAAATGACTTTTATTTAAACCTTGATAAGGAAGTTAACTGAGTTAAGTTACAAAGTAGAAATATCTTTAATGATAGCAGTTGTTTAACACCTTCTTTATTCTGGACTATGCTAAATATTTTGCCTATATTAACTCATTACATCCTTAGAACAATGATATTTATATTCACATCTATTAGTAAGGAACTCAAAGAAAGCCCAGAGAAGCTAAATAAATGAAATTAATTTACCAAGTACTAAGTGGCTGTGTCAGTCTATAAAAGCAAGGATCTTACACCAAAGCTTACATTTACAATTATTCAGATATATTCTGTTTTATGTACTTCATACTTCTAGGTAAAACCCACTTTAAGGTAGGACCCAAATGTGCCTTGCTTGTTTTTCTGCTTCTCTGCCCTCTGCTTCCACTATTCTATAAATACTTGATGTCTGGGCAAATTGGACTGCTGAATGATCCCAACATTGCAGACCTTTTCTATGTGGAGTCAAATTCTAATGTACTCCAGCATAGATCATTTTCCACTGAATTCTCTATTATTGCTCACAGTTTAAGGAAAATATTTTGTACTATAGAGGAATTCAATGATTACTAATTCAGTGTATATATATTATATATACACTCATAGGTTACTCTATTATATATACTCTCATAGATTTAATAATCTATGAGAATTACCCATAGCCCTCCCACCCTGGGTTTATCCTATGTAATTAATACCAAGGAAGATGGGATTCAAACAATGCTATTTTTTTAGAAGCACTGTTACCTAGGAAGGGAGAATACACTGCTTGAGAGTCTTCTGTGTTAAGGTAACTTCCAAATAGTGAACCTAAAGAAAGATGGACATTGAAAAAGCCTCACCTTCTCTGGAGAACTTTACCCCAATGTGTTGGATACTCTTTACTGAATTTTTTTTCCACATGCTTGACTGATTGATAATAAGTCCTGTTAAAGATGTAAGTCACCTGAAACCATGCACATCACTTGGGAAACAAGAGGGTCTTCACATGAATGACTAGACAGTTATTTAACAACTAAGGCAGAATAGATGAGTATCTGTGAGTGACACCTTTGGTCTCTGCTTTGTATGGTGAAAGTGGAATCAAGACATCATCAGATATAGAATTAATAATTTTCTTGACATGTGTATGTCAAGGTGGCTCCTGAGGCATCACAGGTGTGTGAAAGTAAAGTTGCCTAACTCAGTTTGATGAACCATATGGGGGAGAAAAAGACGTATATGCTTGGACCCCTAGTTTTGCTAAGATTTATCACAGTAGAAAAGTGGTTAACTGTCTTATATGAAAAATGAAATATAGCTCATTCACACTGCCAGATCTCTCTCTTGTTCTACATAATATTTGATGGTGGTGAGATTTCCGATTATTTCCTTGATTCATTTTGAAATAATAAGTAATATACTTTACTCTCATTTCTTCTTTCATCAGTTTTGCACAGTAGCTTAATTCTCTTCTGTGTAAGTTGATCAGAGTTTCCCGGGTGCAATTTACTCCATCTTTTCTCACCTCCAGTTATCCCTTTTGTCCCCAATGTCTTATTGTGGTAAAAATACATACCACAAAATTGACCATCTTAACATTTTTAAATGTAGTGTTTGATACTAAATCCATTCATAAAGTCATATAAGTGTCACCCCCATTTACCTTCAGAATTCCTCTTTGTCTGGCAAAGCTCAAATTCTATATCATTAACTAATAACTCCCCATTTCCTCCTCCCCACAGTCCCTGGCCATCACCATTCTACATTCTGTCTCTATGAATTTTATACCCTAGGTACCTCATGTAAGTGAAATCATGCAGTATGTGTTTTTCTATTGCTGCCTTATTTCACATAGCATAATGTCAAGGTTCATCCATATTGTAACAAATGTCAGAACTTCCTTCTCGTTAAAGGCTGAATAAAATTCCATTATGTGTATACACCACATTTTGCTTATCCATTTATCAGTTATCAGATAGTTCCACATTTTAGATATTGTGAACAATGCTGCTATAAATGTGGGTGTATAAATATATCTTTGAGACCCTGCTTTCAATTACTTTAGTTATGTACCCATAGGTGGAGTTTCTGGAGCATATGGTAAGTCTACTTCTAATTTTATGAGGCAATACCATACTGTTTTCCAAGGTGGCTGTACCATTTGAAATTCTCACCAATAGAGCACAGGATTCCAATTATTCTACATCCCTTCAAACCCTTGTTATTTTCTGTTTTTTGGGGCTTTTTTTGATGGGAGTCATTCAAATGGGTATGAGGCAGTATCTCACTATAGTTTTCGGCAACATCTTTCATCCTATTGTTGGGGATAAATCAGTCAGTTTTCTTCATCAGCCAAGTATAGATATTTCATGAGCCATAAAGCTCGAAAATCCAGTTAGCTTCCTCCACTTCATTTCCACTCACCCACCATTTTCATTGAGATTATATTCTCTATTAGAAAAAGACACAGTTCGTTTGTCTTCACTTTTATTGAAATACAAAATGTTAAATATGCAAGCTGTACTAATGAAGGTGCTCCTTGAAGTTGATTAAGGAGGGCTGGGCTGCTTGTGGCTTCCTGCAGGGGAGAGAAAAAACAGAAGGTCAAGATGGTTACCCCTTGCTGCCTTCATCCCATCCCTCATCATGATTCTTCTTGCATCCTCTTCCATGTGCTCTTGCCACTTCCCTTGACTTCCATCTGTGACATCTTAGTCTATTCACCAAAATGTGATCTTTGTAAAACCTAATTTAAAGCATATTACTTCTTTTTTCTAAAGCACTAGAAAGGCTTCCTGTCTCGCTCAGATAATAATTTTTAAAGGTTTACCATGTGATAACATAGAACCACGCGATCTGGCTTCTCACTGCTTCTCCTAATTTGTCTCTGCCATTTTCTCCACTCACGTTCTCTTTTGGTCACACTGTCTCATTGCAGTTCTTTAAACATGTTTAGTGCATTGCTATCCCAGGGCATTTGCACTGGCTGTATTCTGTGCTGGAACACTTTTCCTGCATAAGAACCACATTATTCACTCCCCAACTCTGTCCATTCTTTGTTCTGATTTCATTATTTCAAGAAAAGCTTTTGAGTGAAATATCTATAGGAGTACAGCATCCATCATTCTGTGTTTTCCTTTGTCTTCCTTTATTTTTCCTTTTATCTTTTTTTGCTCTCCGGCCTGTGATATATTTACCACTTTATGTCTTCAGAGTCTGTTTCTACTCACTAGAATATAAGCTTTCAGAGTGTAAGAAATCTATTTACGTTGTTAATTGGCATATTCCAAGCATCTAGAACAAAACCTGGTGCACAGTTAGTGTTGGCAAATATTAGTCAACAAACAATTCAATGTCCAAATGCAGCCCCACTGGATGGATTAGGCACTGAAAGCTGTTATGCTGAAATGATGCAATATTGTGACTGAAGTGTCAGAAACCAAGAGTAAAAATTATGTGGTAAATGTTGGAAGTATTGAGAACAACTTTATACATTTCACTATAAAATATAATTTTAAGTATGTATCTTAGAGGGAGATTGATAATAGTCTTATAGTCTAGTGTTAAATAAAGCTATTATGAGTGAAGAAAGTCATCATTTAGTCCAGACTCAATGTACCCATTCTATAATATTTTGGTCAAAATAATAACAAAAGTTACATGGGAGCTTGAAGGAACTTCTGGACTGTGATTGAAGATTCAAAAGCCAACCCTGAGTGATTGGTGATCTGCATTGTGAGAACAGTCTGAGAACCAGAGCCTGGATCAACACAAACTCTACAGTGTAGGATGTATTCTGTACCATCTGGTAATGGTATCTGGATGTCAGTAATGTGGTATTTGCTGTGACATCCTCACTCAGAGGATCAAAATGCTGCTTTCTCCAGAGTTAGCTCCTTTGTTTACTCTGTTTTGTTTAGGGTTTGATGCAATGTTTGGCTACTTAGTGTCTCTCTCTCTCTCTCTCTCTCTCTGTGTGTGTGTGTGTGTGTGTGTGTGTAAGAAAGGGGAATAAAAGAGAAAGACTATGAGAGATAAATGAATATAAATAGTAATGGAAGCATGAGCATGTTTCTATTTTAATAATTACTATCCTTGGTTTTTCATCATCACATTCTGCTGCGGTTTTCCTTACCTCCTTGATTGATTGATTGATTGCCTGATTAATTGTAGAGTTGGAGGAATCCAAATACATGTAAGTCGGAAAGAAGTAGCAGATAATCACCAGACTATATCAACAAAAACACCAATTTGACCATCCAAGTACTCAGCTGTCATTTGTCATTGAACTTAACCACCAATATCACTCTCTTATTTATTTCACATACCACCAACAACTCTCAATACTTAACCATTTTCAATTGCCAGGAAAGAGGTAGAAATATCTTGTCATGGACAGTCGTTCTATGGTGGGCATTTGAGCTTTGGCCCTTGGAGTTTCAAATGATTGCTGTACCTGAAAAAGAAAATAGGCTGTAGATGAGATACGACTCTTTTCAAGTCTCAGAAAGCATCTTTCACCATGTACCAGACAACACCTGGAATGAAGTGAGCTTGCAGGTTTCATAGAACCAAGCCCATGGGCATTCTAACTCCTCAACATTGTACCCTACCTCTTAGAATTGCCACTCCATGTCAGACTGTATGCTTTACATCAAAATAAACACCTCATGTCTAATCCAAGGTCTTTCAACATTCATTTCCTCTATTTTCCATTTCTGACCTACAGATCTGACAATAAGTTATCCCTTGAAAACTATTCATGAAAACCAGATAAGGAAGGACTCTGTACTTTCAACACTCACCAAGGCTGATTCCTCAATTGAAGGAGAATTTAATCCCAGTATCTTATCTTTCTTTTTTTTTTTTTTTTTTAAGATGGAGTCTTGCACTGTTGCCTAGGCTGGAGTGCAATGGTGCAACCTCGGCTCACTGCAACCTCCGCCTCCAGAGTTCAAGCAATTCTCCTGCCTCAGCCTCCCAAGTAGCTGAGGTTACAGGTGCCCACCACCACGCCTAGCTAATTGGTTTTTTGTATTTTTAGTAGAGACGTGGTTTCACTATGTTGTCCAGGCTGGTCTCAAACTCCTGACCTCATGATCCTCCTGCCTCTGCCTCCCAAAGTGCTGGGATTACAGGCGTGAGCCACCGTGCCCAGCCCCAGTATCTTATCTTTAAGACCCAAACACTGAACAACTTTCATATCTCCACCACCAAGCTGATCTTGTAGTTTTTTTGCATCAACTAATTGGTAAGTCTACTTATCCTAAATCCAGAATTTTTAGTTCCTTTTTCTATGAACATCCTTGAAAGTACAATGTCTAACTCCCACTTATCCAAGAAGATTTAAAAGATTTAACTTCCCAGATCTCTATTCACAGGAGCTCTGTCTCAATTTATGCTGCATTTCCTCCTCCTTCTCCTCCTCCTTCTTCTTATTTCACTACTTTTCTTTCTTTTTCTTTTTTTAAGACAGGGTCTTACTCTGTCATCCAGGCTAGAGGGTAGTGGTGAAATCTCAGCTCATTGCAACCTCCGCTTCCTGAGCTCAAGCGATTCTCCCATCTCAGCTCTCAGGTAGCTCGGATTACAGGTTCCAGTCAATATGCCCGGCTAATTTTTGTATTTTTTGTAGAGATGGGTTTTGCCATGTTGCCCAGGTTGGCCTCAAATTCCTGGGTTCAAGCCACTCCACCCTCCTTCGGACTCCCAGAGTGCTGGGATTACAGGAATGAGTGACTGTGCTGGTTCTGGATGGCTTTCTTCTATAAACGCCAGAGGTGTATCTTTCTTTTCCCGCAGGAGTTTTACTGTTCTCTACAATTTTTACTTTATTAATAATTATACTATTCTGTGTTAATACCAATCCCATTTTCTCTTTAAACAAGAGGGTGCATTTATCTGTGTATTTATGCATGTATTTATTCAATAATTATTAATTGAATATCTGCTACGTGCCAGGTTTGTTGAATTGCTGAGCAAATCCCTGCCATCACGAAGTTTGCATGTTAGTGAGTAAATACAAGTAAAAAACCAGACACATAAATAAACTATTAATATTTGCTGAGTGGGTAGATGTACGAGCTATGGAGAAAAATAACATAGGAAGTAGTGGGAATAAGGAATGTCCCAAGTTGGGCAAGAAGTAGCAAACCTTTCCTTCTGCACTTTTTTATTGAAAGAATGACTTCTTTTTTGTTCCCTCTCACATGTCTTTATGGATCCTATCACAATCTGTAAGCACATATTTGTTTGTTAACCCACATTTTCAGTATCCATATCTCCCACGAAAATGTGAGTCCTAGATAGGATTACGTCATGTAGGCCTCATTTACCCCTCTGTCACCAGGAGGAAATCCATGACCTAGCAGACCACCCAGATTTTATTCATTTAATAAATTAAGAAATAAAAATTATTTCAAAATATTTTTCCTTCTCTAAAACTTAAGAACTTACGCTCCATAACATAAAGCTTATGGTTGATATTATTTTATTTTACTTTGATCTTCTGCTGGGATATATTGGAATTGTCTTTTCCTTAGCCATATTTTAAACAACTGAATGACAGAAACTGGGTACCTCTCTACTTTCACTTCCCTGACAAAAATTGTCATTGTGAAGTAAAAAGTGAATCATGACAAATTCTTCCTGAAGAAATAAATGAGTAACTAGAAAAGAGACACTTACCTTCCGAAATACTTCCTCTAGGTGGCAGCACCAAGAATATTTCTGGAAGCATGTGATGAGTTGTGTGATGAAGATAGAGCCCATTGTGCTGTCTCTCCAGGACACGTTGTCTATAATGATACAGATGGGTATGCCTTGGGCTATGACTTTCACTATGTTTTTGTTCATATTTTTGTTTTGAGAATGTTTTTAAAAAGAAAAGCATAGCTTGGGAATTATCTTTACAGATTTGTAGGAAGCACTTACAACCTGACATTTACCTACTTTCCACAGAACGTAAACAGAAAACCTAGCAAAAGGTGATCAAAAGTTGCAGTTGGTAAGCATTGCAAGAGATTGTGTATTGAAGAAATTTTGATTCTTGGGATTGGCTTTCTACTACAAAACTCATGTTCATTCTCTCAGCTTTTATAGGGGCTTGAGAAATAACTAGAATTATCCCACTTTACAGAGGAAGAAATAGAAGCACAGAAAGATGAAGGAACTTCCCCATGTTCACACAGTGAGTAAGCAACAAAAAATTGCCACCAGGCTCCAAAGTTGTTTGCAGATTATGCCACACTGTCTTTCACCGTATAATAGAAATAGATGAACACATGACAAGTTTCAGTGATAGAAGCTGAAAAAAGTGATAAAAATCTATTGTACAGGGTGGTGCCAGTAGTAACCAACATTGTGTTATGTACTTGAAATTTGTTAAGAGAGTAGATTTTATGCTAAGTATACTTCTCACACGCAGTCACGGAATGATGATAATAATAAACAGAGAAGTGTAAGAATCTTTTGGAGAAGAGAGATATGTTTATGGCATAGATAGTGGTGATGATTTCAGGAGTACATAGAAATCTCCAAACTCATTAAGTTGTATACATTAAATATGTAACATTATGTATGTCAATCATACCTCAATAAAGTGGTTTTAAAAAATAAGATTTAAAAATATACAAATCAAAAACAGTTAAATGTACGCTCCTTAAGATAATTACCTAGACATGAAATACTAACCAGTGTTCCCTGAGATTAGACCTAATCAGCCCCACCCTATCATTTTCTACTTGTTTTAAAGGGTATCCACAGTTCTAGCAGGGCATGCAATGGCACTGCTCATTGTAGAATCAGATGTGAAATATGGAAAGAAGACTTGAAGTTGATCATTTGAGAAAGAGAAGCCATTCCTGGAATCCATAAAAACACTATGTAAAATGTTAAATGGGCTTAATAAAAAAAACAGAATTCATCATCTGTTTAAATGGTGAGTGGTGAATGGGTTTCCATGTATCGGGTTGCTTTAGGAATCTGTTCTCACGGCACACATAAGATCATGTAAAATATGTGGAGAGCACACAACATTCTATCAGATCATTGTTTCATAGGGATTCTTGATTTTCTAGATTCATTCAAAGATGGCCTCAGGCCCACAAATCCCTTACTGCCACTGAAAGATACATACGTGGCGTTGAAGAGCAGAAAGCAATGAAGTCCTTCTCCACGTGGGTCTTGTAAACAGCATCTTCCTCTAGGTTCTCAGATGACTGTGAAGAGGCCACTTCCAAGGATGCTGGAGAGTCTCTGACCCACAGTTCCCCACGGTTTGCTATGGAGACATTAACTTTCTGCACACTGCTGTGCCTCCCACAGAATGGCTGTCACAGTTGCCCACCTTGTTCTTTTTGAATGTTCATTCTTACTAGTTTCATACATACAGACCCACACACATACAAACACACACAGAGAGAGACACACACACACACACACCACTTTTCTTTCTCTCCAGTGTCATTCAACAATGTGCCTACTGATAGTGAAATCATCTTGAATTTACCATTTTCTAGAAAAAAAATCTGTTTTCTTTTGAAAAATAGCTCCCAAGAGCTATCAGACAATTGGTCTCAAATTCCTGGCCTCAAGCCATCCTCCTGTCTTGGCCTCCCAAAGTGTTGGGATTATAGGCATGAGCCACCATCCTCAGCCAGCCATGAGGCAATTGAATCTTTGGAGCAAAGTGGCACTGCAACATTCTACAGTCCCCTGATCTCTTTACTAATTTCCCCCTCAATAATTATAAGAAAAAGGGATGCTGTTTTACATAATGGCCCCAGTTTCAAATGAAATTCTTCTCAAACCACACAATGTCAAAATTTCTGTAAAACATTTACAAATCAAGCTATCATGAAAATGATTCCATTCCAAAGTTTGAGTATTTCTGTTTAACTTTGATTTAGGGATTCTGATGATCTCCTTCACCACTTACTGTGGATAAAATTGAACAGAAATTTCTCCACTAATTTTGATGAGACAATTTCTTGTTATACCAGACCCTTAGGTAGAGTTTCTTTAGAATTCAATGTACTTTATTTACACTGGATGAGGTTTAAGAATGTTGCCCCTAAATATAAACCAAACATCACAATCCTCTGCATACACCTTCATAACTGTTAGATGTTCAGTCTCAGCACTCACCACCTCTGCAGGCCTGGACAATGATGACCTTGGGTTTGTCCTTCAGACTGAGGCAGTTGCGGTTGTTGAATATCTGGAAGATGGTGTCATAAAGCAGCACATCTGGTTTTTTCTCATCATGCACAGTTCCGCAGATTCCCTCCAGGATGCCATGAGACATGAGTACCAAGAATGTGCTGTCAGAGGACTTGTGCTCTGGTCTGGTAGCAAATGCCCTCAGCGCTGACTCCATATCCTGTAAAAGAGCAATGTCTAACTTCAGTCAGAGAAGCATCACAATTAAAGGGGACTCCTAGATTTACCATGAGCGAAACAAGAAACATATGTAACATCCAGGTCGTGGTGCTTCACTTAGTGCTTACTCAGTCATGACAGCTGTTTAATGGTTTTATTTTTCCTTCTTTATGGGGCCGTGGATTCCCATTTTCTCTTCCTGCTGACATACTGTCTTCTTAGTATATTGTATATTGCTATGTGTTACTCATGTTACTTTTTCTTTTCCATCTCAATCTTCTATCTCCTTACCTAGCAAGTCATGTGTTATAAATGCAACACACCATGTTCTTTGTAAAATCCATCCCACTATGCTTAGAATAGAATCAAACTTCTGGCCTGACCATACACCACCCTCATACTATGTTCCTTCTCCTTCAACCTCTAGTCACACTGGTCTTCTCTTTGTGCTTCTCGTGTGCCAGGTTCATTTTCAGCTCAGCTCTTTCACAGGTGGCGTCTCCTACTTTGAAGGCGCTGCATTCATGTCTTTCCAGAGCCATCTCCAACCAACCCAAAAACGTTGCTCCCCACCCTACAATTCTGTCTCATATTTCCTTTTTATTTTCTTTTTACTTACTTTTGGCTGTCTTGTCGCTGTTTTGTAGACACACATATGCACACCTGGTGCTTGAAGTTGTCTTTTTTCTTACAATTTCACTGTTTCTCTCTACTGTAACCTAGATGAATGCTGGCTGGGAACTTCCTGTCTCATTTACAGACCTATTCCCAACGTTAGGAATAGCTCTTAGCACCAAGTTTAGGATTCAATATTTGTTTTATAAGTATACTGCCATTTAACATTCATTACTCTACAATTTTCTGGGGATTTTCGGGGCTGCATCCCAATCACATGATTTTGGAATTCAATAAGAAATGTGAAAACACGTGTCAATCATGTTTAGTCTAGTTTTCCAGAATTGAGGATATTTGGAGGACCAAAGAGACATAGATTTACCAGTCTAGTACTCTTATTTTGTATACACACACACACACACACACACACACCCAAAGGTTGTTAAACCTTGTTGAGCTCTTTGAAGCTAGGTAGTTATTAGAAGGATGTGTCTTGAATATGTATGTGTTTGTGGCGGCTGAGGGATTCTTACCCTGGCTGTCAGATTCTCTTCTACATCTACACTATAGTCCAGACCCTCAAGTAGCTCCTTCATCCCTGTGATGTCAAAGTCAGCTCCATTCCTCGGAGGCAGATGGTCAAACTCTGTATTGCATATGATGAGAGCCAGGCGTGTGCGGTTGTTTCTCTCCTTTATTGGATAGATCTGCAGGATATGGAGATGCAATAAATTTAATTTACTCAAGTCTCCTTTCAGCCTCCTTATGCCTATCAGTGTTGCTTTTTCAAGTCTTCATGCAGCTCCTCTCTGCTCTAACTTGTATCAAAAGACACTGACTTTCTCTCTCTCAAGAACCCAGGGAAAGAACCGGACATATCTGAAATTGTTATTAAGAATCTTGAGGAAACTAGATAATTCCTATGCCTTTTCTTCTCCCTTTTCTTCTTCACCTACTCCAATCTTTCTTAGCATTCAAAGTTCAGGTCAAATTTCATACAAAACGAGATGTTGTCGTTGACTCCAGTGAAAAATGAATACAGCAAAAGTCTTTGCCTTCGGAAGCATAGCTATTTTGTTACTATTTTTAACACATAAATTTATAATGTTTTTCAAGCTTTAATTATATTTCCCAAGTATCCTTCATGTCTAGACTTTTCAAGTAGAGTGCAACCAATTACAAGTCAGCTATATTATCCTCCAAATATGTTTATTCCATGGCTAATGCTACAATTGCCATAAAATCCAAATAATTACAAGAATAAATACAGGAGCAATAGAAATACCAATTTTCTTTCAACTCATGATAAAATGATCTGCATCATGGATTGAGAAAGGATTGGTATCATTGTGAAGTCACATAATCTTTCCCTTAGTAAAAGCATTATTGAAAATGGTTACTGTCATCCCCACCCCCAATCATTTAGTGCTGTAAGAAATGGTGCACTGAAGGAAAGCAATGATATCTCTTCTTTTTTTTCTATTTCATATAGATAGCATAGCACCTCTTCAGCTCTTTCTTTACATAGTCTCAGGAATTCTTCATGAGGACAAAGCTTGAGGGCATCTGTAGATTCTCCTGACTCAGGTGGTCCAGCCTCCATATTCGGATGAGCTGCAGGATATTGCAGAACATAAATTGTGATTTCTGCCTCTGTGACCCAATTTATCACCTAAGAAGATCGAGAGAGAAGACGTCCTGGGAAGATTTCTTCACATATAGGGGTTTTAGTTGTATCTCATATCTAGTATTCTACATCAGGAGATGTATTGTTACTGGAAAAGATAGAAAAGCAGATCCACCCAAACATGTAATCATATATTCTGATCATTCTGGGGAAAACATGTCAATGATGTTGGGGTTAAATTTGGCCTTTCCTTATACCGTCAAAAGAATTTGATTTTTCCAAAGGTTTTACTCCAGGATACTCATTTATCTGTGTGGACTTTCTATTGTGTCTGTGCAAGAGTATACTGAGTAAATAGTTGTCAGAACACTATCTACTACAAATTTAATGTGTGTTCCATGTCCAATATTTAATTTCTACTATCACATGTAAAAAGTAAAATTAAACAGGTAAAATTAATTCTAATAACATTTATTTAACATAACATACAAAAAGTATTATTTTAACATGTATTTTTAGCCACAAGCCAAATGCTTAATAGTTATCCCATACAGGATGGAACAAAATCCTATTTTGGAGTAATCGTCCCCTCCTAATCCCCACTACACATACAGATAAATACATACATACACCAAAGCACAGAATATTGAATCTTGTACTTTCAAGGCATTATTTTTTTAGCAACTTTACTGTTAATTTTTAATGATTCTAGAAGAAATGAACTTCAATTATCCCTGTGCAAATTGTAAAGCCAGCTATTTGTAAAGCCAGCCAGTCTGAGCTCTGGAGATGTAACAAGTTGTAAGAGTGTGTATGAATATCAAACCTTCTGAGCATCTCTTTTCATAGATTACACAGTGATATATGACCTTCGGTCCTATTTCAGAAAATTCTGCCAATGTGAAGACATGCTGGATCCTGGATATTCCCTGGTCAGAGGGTATGTTTTCTAATCCAAAGTTTCCTGTTTCCACTTCACTTACAGGTTTAGAGAACTTCATAACTTAGTCATCTCCTAATGATCATTATGTGTGTGTGTGAGATACAGTGTTTTCAGGTAAAATTAGAAATTAGATAGAATTTCTATCTTACATCCAATAATAAAATTAGCATGAAAGCAAATCATTTCATTAGAAGATAGTACATATTATACTGCAGACTGCTGCCCAAAGAGAGCTGGATACACTCTAGGTACACTGGCAGTGTACCTAAAGTTTCCTGGGATTGCTCTGGAGACTCCAACTGCAGATAGAGCCCAGGGAGACACTAGACCCCTCCTGTGAGGGGTTGCCGCTGCCTTATTCCTGCCACAGCCTCTGCTAATCAGATAGATTACTTCAGTTTAGACTTGAATGCTCATTGTGATATCTGGGTTTGCTAAAACCATTCTGAAGCCTCTATTACTTCTATTCTAATTCCCATTAGTTGCACTATCACTGACTTTTTGAAAATGGAGATTGTTTCCATGCCATCCAGGTTTGAGAAAAAACTAAAAACCTGCAAAGGGACCAGTTTAAATATTAATGAGAATGCTACCTTCTTATAATCTTGGACAACTATCATACTATCATGTGCTCCCTGTTGGTAGGAACACCCCTTCTTCATAGAGGAGTGCTGATTGAAAAAGCTCATTTGATATAGTGAGGTCTCAACAATTTATATTTCCTTTTGTTTATCACTATTTATCATTATTGGTAATCTGTAATACTTCATGGCTCAAGATTTCAGCTTAAATTCTGGGGGGTATTGAGTCTGTCTCTGGTGAACTTCAATATGAGAATATTTAACCTTTAATAATACGTAATTCAATCTGGGTCAAAAGTTCCAAAAAGAAGTTTTAAAATTTTAGACATTTTATGGAGATTCTCCTTATCATATTTTGTAATTCGCAGAAGTAAGTAAGCACTGGAAAAGTCTAGTTCATAGCATCCACATAATAATTATGAAAACTAGTATTTATTGAATGCATATACTTTATTTATTTACTCATCCTACATTATTTAGGCATCTGCTATGTGCCAAGAAAACTACTGATTACTGTTATTAATTGGTGAAGAAACCAGTTGCATTCTGGTGGGAGAAACTTGGTAGATGTTGTTTCGGTCTACTGAGATGAAAAGGGAATAAAAATGCAACAGTTTTGTTCTGGGGAACAAAGTGTATATTTTAGCTGTATTTGTATTGTGATGCCAGCAAAACACTCAAGTAGACCTGTTGAATATGTTGCTAGAGCTAAATGATCCTGGAGTTCAGAGGAGAGAGTTCCGGATGAGAGCTAATATCTTGAGAGTTGTTGGCGTGTGGTGCCTGTCATTATAATGTTTCTAGGCTTAGACGATCTTGTGAGAAAGTACTGGAATTGTCTTCATTTCACAGATGGTAAGACTAATAACTAAGGATCTAGGGAAGTTAAGCAACTTACAGGATGTCACATAGGTCACAGGTGACAGAATCTAGGTTTAGTTCTATGTGTCCCTTACTACAAGGTGTGAACTATTAACTATTTTTGTACACAGTCTGAACACAAGGACTCAGCCTTTTAGCTGATTGTAAACTGGATTCCACCCCACAAAAGGGAAGTGGTCTCTAAAAGGACAAAGATAGGTTTAGTGAAAATGATAGTTTAGGAAGGGAAAGATAGGGGAATCACAGAAGACACTGCTTAGGCCTTGGAGTTAAACAGATTTAGGGAAAATTGAGACATTCATTGTAAAAAATCCAGTCTTACCTTTTTTATTGGGGGATATTTGGTCTATGTTAAAAAAGGTTTGAAGAAGCATTTGTCCTGCCATACGTTGCTTCTCTTGCATAGAGTCTGCCATGACCCGAACTTTGTCTTCAGTTTTAGCATCGTAATATTTCTTTTTTTCCTCTTCCTTCCAGTTCAGTACATTTTGTTCCACCAAGTTATCCAAAACACCAGTGAGGAAATCTTTGCCCAGGGATTCCAACACCTTAAGTGGCTTTTTTCTGTGGTTGCCTTCTGTTAGAAATAGAAAGATTCCTTTAACTATGGGCACAGCTTAAAGAGTTTCACCCTCACTTTAGATATAGTTCTATAATGTGAAATACTTCTGAAAGTATGTCCTACTTCACCATCTGTCTTCTTGTACCTATAGAGTTCTGTCATTCATCATATTCCTACCAGGTTGTTTAACAATTTATTGCCACTAAATACTTTTTATTTTCTTTTTTGTTCTTTTTTCTTTTCTTTTCTTTTAGCTTCTCAACTTCCTTCTGTGGCATTGGACCTAATGCAAACTTCCTGGTCATCCACTGTATTCATTTTTCTCTTTTACTGGTTCACGGCCCATAGTGATAATGATCTGCCTAAAATATATATTCCCGGGAAAGTCAATGCTCTTGTCTAGAATATAAATTCTTCCTACTAGATTTTTACTTCCTATATGATTTTTACTCTTTTCTGTATTTAGTTTTCTTGGTGAAAGAACTATATCTTTGAATTTGCATTTTTTTAACTTACATCCTATACCCACATCTTTGTATTCAAAATGTTTAAAAGTACTTAATATGCTTGCTAAATACATAAATTAAAGAATAAATGGATGAGTGCATCCATATTTATAATTCTTTCAAATCTTGTTCTCAATGAAAATTTAAAATTGAAAGTAACCTGATTCCTAATCTTCCAGTGTGGTGGATTAGTTTAATTTGACACCATGTTAATGTATTACTCCTTAGAGTAATTTGAATATTTATAAGGAAATATAGATACCAAAGTAATACATCCTTTGTTTCAATACAACAGATATGATTTCGGCAGATTGTACACAGAAATGCTGGATATCTTATCAATTCTCAATCAATGCTACAAAGATAATTATACAATCCATGTAGATGTAAGGATAGTGCTGACAGAAAATGACATCTAAAGAAATCATGTCAGGACATTGCACAAAAGCTTTGGCACAGAAGCACCAGCCTCATTGTCTGGGTTATCTTGAATTAATATTTTCATACGTGCTTATTGGGCAGCTATTATGAGAAAAACATTAGACATTACAAACCAGGAAAAAAGTTACATAATATAAATTAACTTAGTAAAGGGTAATATCTCCCATGTACTTATTATAAATAAAAAATGAATGCATATAAAACAATTTAAATCATTATTATAATCATCATTATCATTTACATATCACTGTACCAAAGGTTTTACAAATGTTAATATACTGGACCCTCACAATAAGCCAGTGGGGTAGTTATTATATTCCCTATTTTATATTCACCATTTAAATAATAACTTATGTCACATCACATGAATTAGGATTCAAATCTTGTTTTTTTCACCATAGTCTATATAGTTAATCATGATATGGTTCAGTTAAAATAGTTAATATTCATTGAGCCCTCATCATGCCAAGTGCATTACTGAAATTTCACAAAAATTCCATATAAAACATATATTAACCTCTCTTATATGGAAAATGGAAGATAATAAGTAATTGACTCAAATAATGTAAAAGAACACCGAGTATATAGTAACTGGGAACAAGAATTGAAATCTAGGGGTTCAGAATCCAGAGCCCCCATTCTTAATTCATCAAACTACATTACCTGACAGTTGGTGAAGAGCTTCTTAAAAGAATGTAGACAAGATATTTAAGGGGCTCAGAAAACATTAGTGCATTCCAACAGGTGAGATCACAAAGGCTTCTGAGAAGAGGTAGCAAAAATGTTAGTCTTGCAACATCAGGTACAGATGTTGCAACACAGTGTGATTTGCAAACAGTACACAGATTAGTGTGTGGGATATCCAAACTACCTGAGTTCTGGGCTTCTGTTTTATTTATTTGTGTGCTCAGTAAACTAATATAGTGTTGACTGAATAAATGATATGTGAAGAAATATAATAAGCAATAAAATTGAAGAGTTTTTAACAAAAAAAGTCACATATGACAAACACACAGCTAACATCATACTCAATGGTGAAAAGTTGAAAACCCTTTCTCTAAGATCAGGAAGAAGACAAAGATATTCACATTTACCACTTCCATTCAACGTAGTTCTGACCAGAGCAATTCGCCAACAAAAAGAAATAAAAGGCATCAAAATTGGAAAGGAAGAAGTTTAATTGTGCCTGTTTAAAGATGAAATGGTCTTATATACGGAAAACCCTAAAGGATCCACCAAAAATCTTTTAGAACAAATAAACAGATTCAAGAAAATTGCAGGATAAAAAAAATCAACATACAAAAATCTGTAGTGTTTCTGTATAACAATAAACCATCTTTAAAAAATAAATAAATTTCCATTTAAAATTGCTGCAAAAATACTTAGAAATCAATTTAACCGAGTAGGTAAAAAACAAGTACACGTAAAAGTATAAAACTTCAACCCGATCAACATGGTGAGACTATGTCTCTACAAGAAATTTAAAAAGTTGGCTGGCCATAGTAGCATGTGTCTATAGTCCTTGCTTCTTGGAAGTCTGAGGTAGGAGGATTGCTTAAGCCCAGGAATTTGAGATTATAGTGAGCTATAATTGTGACACTATACTCCAGTCTTGGCTACAGAATGAGATCCTGTCTCAAAAATAACAGCAATAATAACAAATCTCAAAACTATAAAATATTGATAGGGAAAACTGAAGAAGACAAAAATAAGTAGAAATGTATTTTGAGTTGATGGACTGGAAAATTACTATTATTAAAATGTCCCTAATACCCAAAGAAATCTAAAGATACAATGCAATTCCTATCAAAATTCTAATGGCAGCTTTTACAAAAATAGAAACAAATCCTAAAATTTATATGGAATCACACACAAAAAAACAAACCCTGAATAGGCAAAGCAATTTTGAGTAAAGGGAACAAAGCTGCAGGCATCGCACTATCTGAGTTCAAAATAGACTACAAAGTACTACAGTCATCAAAATAGCACAATAGTTGCATAAAAATAGAAACAGAGAGCAAATGAACAGGACAGAAAACCCAGAAATAAACCCAATTATTTACATTAATTTGACTTTTCAACAAAGGTTTCATGAACACACAACTGGGAAAGAACAAATTCTTCAATAAATGATATTGGGAAAATTGTAAAACCACATGCAGAAGAATAAAAATCTCTAAACATATACAAAAATAAACTCAAAATGAGTTAAATATGTAAATGTAAGAACCAAAACTGTGAAACTACTAGAAGAAAACAGAGGGGAACAGCTTCATAACATTGGTCTAGACAGTGATTTTTGGATATGACAGAAAAGGACAGGAAACAAAAGCTAAAATATGCAAATGAAATTACATCAAACTAAAAAGCTTTTACACAGTCAAAGAAACAATCAAAAGATTAAAGAGATAATCAACAGTATGGTAGAGAAGATTTGCAAACCATACATCTGATAAAGAATTAATATGCAAAATACAAAGAACACAAACAATTCAATAGAAAGAAAATAAACTGATTTAGAAATAAGCAAAGGACCAGAATAAACACTTTTCAAAAGAAGACATACAGAGAATATGTATATGAAAAATGATCAACCTCTCTAGCCACCAGGGAAATTGAAGTCACAATGAAATATCACTTTGCACCTGTTGGAATGGCTATTACCAAAAAGACAAAAGATAACAAATGGTGGAGAGGATGTAGAAAAAAAGAAACTCTTGTACACTGTTGGTAAAACGTAAATTAGGCCCTGCGCAGTGGCTCACGACTGTAATCCCAGCACTTTGTGAGGTTAAGGCGGGCAGATCACCTGAGGTCAGTAGTTCTAGACCAGGCTGGACAACATGGTAAAACCCTGCTTCTAGTAAAAATACAAAAATTAGCCGAGCGTGGTGGTGGGCGCCTGTAATCTTAGCTACTCATGAGGCAGAGGCAGTAGAATTGCTGGAACCCTAGAGGCGGAGGTTGCAGTGAGCCTAGATTCCATGACTGCCCTCCAGCCTAGGCAACAGAGTGAGACTCTGTCTCAAAAAAAAAAAAAAAAAAAAAAAAAAAGAGTAAATTAGCATGGTCTTTATGGAAACCTATATGGAGACACCTCTGAAAGTTAAAAATAGAGCTAAAGATATGATCAAGCAATCCCACTATTAAGTATATATCAAAAATTGGAAAATCAGTGTCTCGAGGAGATATCTGAACTTCTATTTCCATTGCAGCATTATTCACAATAGCCAAGATATAAAATCAACCTAAATGTCTGTGGACAGATTAATAGATGAAGAAAATGTGGATTATATACAAAATGCAACACTATTCAGCTTTTAAATGGAAGTAAATCCTATCGTTTCTGACAATATTGATGAACATGAAGAACATTATATTAAGTAAAATAAGCCAGGCCAGGCACCAAAACACAAAATATCACATTATCTCACTTATACATAGACTCTAAACAGGTTAAACTCATAAAAGCAGAAGGTTGTACATAGAAAATATGTACAATGTTTATTTGTCAAATAAATAAATAAGTAAATTAAAAGTATGGCCTGAGGTATAATCTACACATTCTGATGGCATCCATTATATGCTTAAAAGAATAAATAAATCATTCTCAAATTTATGGATTCAGCCCAGATGTGGATGTCGGTATTGAAACCTATACATTCAATAGACAATGAGATATCTCAACTACATCTCACAACCTCATTTAACTCAACTTACAAAGATGAACTGTTCATTTTTTCATTTCCATCCTTCATTCTCTTTTCCATATACTAGTAAATAATACCTATACTCCAAGTACAAAAGAGCAGCAATACCTGGTGATATTCAACCTCTTTGGCCTTCTCTATGTCTTATTTCCCTTCTTAATTCACATTGCATCGATTTTATTTGCTAAACATTTTCAGAATCTGACCACTTCTCTCAATTCTAATTGTTCATTACTTCTATTCGGGCCAACATCCTTTCTTTCTTAAGAAATAAATTCATAAGAACTTTATCAATCTACTCTCCGTCCCTCTATTCTACTCTTTGCAACGAAGAGTGTTCCAATATCTAGATTTGACCATGAAAACTTTCAGCCTATTCTAATCTAGGCCTTCTCATTCACTCATTTTCTGATACTGTTCCCACCTTGCTCATTACATTCAAAACGTTCTGCCTTCATTTAATTTCTGGAAAGATTCTATTTAGGGGTCTCTGTATTTCCAGCCCCTACCTTCTCATTCATTCTTGTTTTCCTACTGCTGTCTGTCTAACCTTCAAGTCTCAGATTAGATGGCACCTTTCTCAGGGAATCAAGTCTCTACTTAGGGATCTGTATAGTTTCAGCACCCCCGCTTCTAATTTCTTCTGGTTTTTGAACTGTTCTCTGTCTATCTGTCTATCTGTCTATCCTTCAAGTATCAGATTAGATGGTATTTTCTTAAGGGAATCCTCTCTGATTCTTCCAGAGGAGACAGCATCAGAGATATATGCTCCTAGGGCACCTTGTATCTCCTTAGAGTAGCATTTTTTTTCCATTTATTTATTTATGTATTTATATATTTTTGTGAGACAGAGTCTCACTCTGTCACCCAGGCTGAAGTGCAGTGGTGCTATCTTGGCTCACTGCAATCTCTGCCTCCCGGATTCAAGCGATTCTCCTGCCTCAGCCTTCTGAGTAGCTAGGACTACAGGTGCACACAACCACGCCTGGCTAATTTTTGTATTTTTAGTAGAGATGGGGATTCACCATGTTGGCCAGGCTGATCTCGAACTCCTGACCTCAGGTGATCCACCCATCTTGGTCTCCCAAATTGCTGCTATTGGATTACAGGCCTGAGCCACCACATCCAGCCTTTTTTTTTATTTTTCCATTTAATTGTGATTCCCAGCCTACTTATCTCTATCCACTGTTAGAATTTATGCTCTGTGAGGACAGGGGCCATGAACTACATCTGCACTATTTTTGGCATTCTTTTTACTAGTTATTTACTGAATATTTACTAATTATTTACTGAATCAGTAGTCAAGTCCATGTAGGAACAAATGAATAAAACTTATGTGTGGCTCAACTCTTAAGGAATATGAAACCACCTTTGCAAAATTATAACTGAGGAAATTACAACAATGAACGAAATCAGACTGGGAAAGCCTTTGTGGCTACCTGCTTGTGGTTTGGTGCCCCCGCTCCAGCGATGGATCCAGAAGGTAGCCCAAGTAGCCGCCTAGTTCTCTTGGACTGGGGGCTGGCTCTGGTACTCTCTCCACTGGCAGGCACTGCCAACCCAATGTGCATGCATTTAATTGCAACGGAGAAATAATCCTGGAGAGATGTCCTCTAACTGTGGCCCTATCACAGGGTTTCCGTCTGTAGCTGCATTGAAGGGTGTCTGGATTGGTGAGTATCCTAGGTGCTGCCAATGCCTCCTTCCTTCTCCTGACTGGTTCTGTGGCCCCATAGTGGGGTGTCTGTCTGTAGCCCCATTGCAGGGTGTTAGGATTGGTGAATCTACTAGGCACTGCTAATGCCTCCTTCCTTCTCTCGACTTGTCTGTAGCTCTATGATGGGGTGTCTGTAGCCCCATTGCAGGGTGTCTGTAGCCCCATTGCAGGGTGTCTGTTTGTAGCTCCACCACGGGGTATCTGTTCGGCTCCACTGGGGTCTTGGTTGGCTCTAACTAGTAGGAAGAGTCTTGGTTCACGAGACTTGTCCTCAATCAGGACAATTTTGAGATTTCTCAGACAGAGAATAGGAGGATAGTTTGGAAGGGATACTCTTGGAGTTCCTGTTTAGGGATCATCTGATTTGGAAGGCCTTCTGTCTGTCTCATCTTCGTGTGTGTTTGTATATGTGGAGGGAATCTCAGAAGGAATTGCTGAAGGAAGTCCAGCAGGCCTAACTCAGAGGACTCTTCTTATTTGGTTACATTCGATGAGCCCTGGAGAAAGTTCAATAGGCCTGTCTCATGGTGACTATCTGCTCTTTGCCTTACCCAGAGACCCCATTGTGAATTACTGTTCTGAGGTCGTCCCTCCCCACCTGGAGTGGATCAAAGACAACAGGGACGAACAGAAAAAAGTCTGAGCTTTGCCAGGTTGATATTGGGTGCTGAACGAGGTGACTAGTGTCTGTTTTGTTATGTGAATTCTGCTGGGATAGAAAATGTTAAATGGTTCCCCATGCAGCTGGTTGGGCAGCATCTTGCATTTTAAGAATCTTGCCTATGTTTCCATAAAACAGAAAATGGTGACTTTTTTCTTGTAAAGTGGCTTGAACCCCACAACTATGGTGAGGTGAGCAGGCTGATCAGAAGCCGTTCCGTTCTTCTGGAAGTTACAGAGAAAAGGCACCCAGAAATCTGGTATGCCAGCAAAAAGTGTAAGAAATTCTTACCAGCTAGGTTTCTGGTCTCTCTCTCTTTCTCCATCTGTGTAAACAGTAAACATCACTATATGTTTCTCTGTAAAGTTTTGATTAATAGAAAAAAGAATTTACAAGACTAGTCTTAGCCTATAGCAAATCTGGTGTATTTTTGCTAAGAATTTGTCTTTCAGTGTTCTGTAATGGAAAGAGGGGTATCACAAGATAGAACATGGGTTTAGGACCCCTATAAGCCTGCTTTTCAAGCCAGCTCAGCAGGCTGGCCAATTATAATGGGTCCCTGAAACCAATACTGTATGAAATTTCTCTGTCTTGTTTGGCCTCCTTAAGAGCTTAATCTTGTGACCATATGTGGATACTTCCTTTTGGTTTATACCATCCAGCCCTAAAAATTTTTCTTGAGCAGTTAAAAGCCTTGGCAAGGTTAAAAGTGGCTTCTCTAGTCTCCTTCTTGGAATAGCAATAGAAACTGCTCAATGCTGTAATTCAGTAGCTAAGACTTTGCCTTTTGACATAGAGGCTCAGGCTCTATTCTTGGCTTCTGGAACAATTTCCTTCTGGTTTGCTATTTGCATAACTTTGCCATTTAATGAGGTTCCCCCACAACCCCATGGATAGCTTCTGATTTCCTCTCTTGAATTTTCCTTTCTCTGGACTACCTTGGGGAAATTCTAAATCTTGTAAAAAGAAACTGCTTACCACACCTTTGAAGCACCTGGGAAGTTACTTTTGATAAAGTTCAAAAGCCAGAAATGTTGGCCGCATGGCTAAAGTTGGGTAATACGAAATTTAAAAGGATTTTGTTAAGAGCACTAAGGTTAAAAGTCAGCTTAATTAAAAGTGAATAAACAAGTTATGGATACATTTAAAAGACCTTTATGTTTTTCTCTTCTTGGATCTCGTTTTTCTGTAAAAGAGGGTTTTTTCTTCTTAGTAAACTGAATTATTTTTCTCCATTTTTTGTCTTGCCACTCTTAATGCACACATAAGAGGCACTAAGATAACTTTTGGTAGCCTGAGACTCCTTGAGAAAAACAGAGGAAGCACCACAGACCCCATTTTGGGAAAAACAAACAACAAGAAACAAACAAAAAACCCTCTGTTTTCTTCATGACAACCAAGGAATTAAAAGTAGATGGATCACTCTCAAAATCAAAGGCTCTGTTCTGTTTTGCATTGTGTTATCTGACAGTTTGAATTTTGGGGATATCAGAAATTACTTTGCATTATGAGATAGCTTTGGTATGTAATAACTAGGTAGGAAATATACTTTAAGGGATGGCTAATAGTATTTTCAGAGGGAAACTTGGCTCTTCGCACACTTGGGTCAGAGAAGCATGCTCTGGGCCACCTGGAAGATACGGAAACATCCCCATGCCTGACTGAGAGATGAGACTTCCATGGGGGATGGGCTGATTTCAAAATGGGTTGATTGGCTTTAGGTTGCCTTGCAATAAAATGCAGGTTAGAAGCACTGCACTCTCTTCTCCAGTAGTATTTCCTTCCTTTTGGGGATCTGGGATCCAGTATAAAATGGCATCCTTCATTTTGGAGATCTGTCTTTGCCTTCAGCTGTGCCTGCTTATTTAGCTTGGAAAAAAAATGCATGCTTTCCTGGCCCTGTTCCTCCAAGGGCTCCACTCTGAAGCCAGTAGTCCAGTTAACAACTGGCAAATAAAAAATCTTACAAGTGCTGAATTTTCTGTCTGTCTGTGTATTTATATAAACTTCTATAATTCTGATAAAATTTACTGTACATTATTAGTAATTATAATTGTTATACAAAATTGTTGGATGCCACAGAAGTAAGCAAAATTCCTAGTCAATTATAGCTTTAATAGTGTCTATAGACTTTTGTCATCCACAGACATTTTGTCTTGCTTTGGTCGTTTTCAAAAGGCAGTTTATAATCAGGTATAGGACTCTGAGTGCAGGTCTCAGATAACTTTAAAAATTGTGCTATTGGAATAGAGGAAAAAAACAAAACTTCCAGGACTCTCATGAAGAGCTGATGTCTTAAATGTCACCAATCCTTCAGTTTTCACAGTCAAGATAACTTATTTCTTTAGAGATATTTGCAACTTTTAACAAGTAGGTAAAATACACTCCTGTGAAAAAATTTTGAAGCATATTTGTTTCTCTCTACCTGATTTCTCCAGAATTTGGAAACTCTTTGTAAGTATTCTCAATTTATGGCAGCATGGTTAATTCCATAAGCACAATAAAAATCTGTTTTCTTTTGTAACATGACACAATTGGAGAAATTGGTTATTTTACCAAGGCTTTGACTGGAATGGCACTCTTCCCTTAAAGAATCGAAGTTGACTTACAGAGCCAATAAAAGCCCCTTGGGGAATCTGGCTTCATACCTTGTCTACACAGAGTCCTTGTACAAGGTTCTTGATCTGTAGTAAGTAAAGAATATCACTTTCTAACAGGTTCATGAGCTCCAAGTTATCTTGGGACCTTGAGAGGAGAGGAATTTACCCAACTCATAGGTATTTAAGGGTACAAATGCATGGCTGGGATTGGCTCTTAAAAAGTCTTATCTGAGATTCCTCATGGAACAGAGTTCCATCAAAGCCAATTTAAACAAAAAACAGCCTAAATAAAAAATAATTATTCTTGTTGCACTTCATGCAAATAATCAGGCCAAGTACAGTAAGACTAAAGCTTATTTTGGTAAACAGATTAGTTCTATTATAATTTACTTTTAATAAAAATAGGGTCTGGAGAGAAAAATTATGCTTCAAAAGAAAACATATAATATACCCATTGTTAGTTTTGTTTGAGTTTTTTCCTACAGTTTGGACTAAATCCTAAATTCTTTGTGGATTAGAAGTCCCCAAATTAATGCTTTCCAATCTTTGCTTTTAAAATTGAGAATTGTACTCCTCATCCTAGGATTTGTTATTTACCTTACAGGAGGCTGTTGGCTTAAATATTATAGCAAAACTACAGAGGAGAGTACTAATGTTTTTGCATTGCAAGCATTGGAAGCCCAGCCAGTCCTGCATGAGTATGCTCAGACAGTTGCAAAGTGGTTACATTCTTCTCACCTTGGGGTTCACTCTAATTTCCACTATGTCTCCTGTCAGCAGGAAGAAGCCAGAGTGATCGACAGCCTTTTCCCATCTTCATAGCCTACACCTTAAGATTAAGCTATTAGAAAACCCAAACAGAGGGATTGAAACTGCCTTTGCAATATTATAACTGAGGTAATTACGACAGTGAAAGAAATAAGACCTAACCAACTCTATCTTGCTTCTATCCCTTAAGCTGTTCTTATTCATTCCTGGGCATAGGCCGAACTGACTTTGGGAAGGAATTCAGTTCATGGTTTGACTGAAACAAAACCGGTAACAGCCTTTTCTCGAAAAGACCCTCTTCTTGCCTGGGGTCCAGTCTCCCTTTGCAGGACTAACAAATTAGCTACAAGACTAAAAATTACAATGTAAGGGACATGCAGCCTCTGGCTCCTAGAATTGGAATGTCCCCATTGTGCTCCCAGGGATAATATCACTTTATAAAATCTAATATCAGCACTTAAGATATTTTTCAGACGCTGCACTCAATGGATCAGCTGACACCACCCAAACCAGTAATCTAACCCAACCAGTTCTGCCATCACACCCAGGAAGAGAACACAGCAAGAAAACCTCACTTTGACACCCTATGATTCCATCTCCCACCTGAGTAATCAGCACTTCCTACTTCCCAAGCCCCTAGCTGCCAAATTATCTTTAAACGTTCTTATTTCTGAATGCTCGGGGAGACTGATTTAAGTAATAATAACACTACCCTCTCCAGAACAGCCGGATCTGCGTGAATTACTCTTACGCCATTGCAATTCCCCTGTCTTGATAAATTGGCTCTGTCTAAGCAGTGGGCAAGGTGAACCCACCTGGTGATTACAAATTCTTAATAGCAAACCAGGTAAGTTTGATTTCATTTAATAGATGATAGTTGCATGTTGGATATTTCAACAGAAGGAAGGCATGTTCATTCCCCTATCCATTCAGGTATATTTAATGAGCATAAATTCTTGAAACTTACTCTGCTGTTATTGGGGGTACCACTTTGGCAGCATGTCTGTACACTTTGAAGTTTGCAGTCAAGTGGAAAAATACATATGCAAATAAGTAAAATGAAAAATATTATAAGAATGTAAATAATTAGCAGAAGCTCAAGAAAAGCATAAGCAAAGTGTGTCTCAGGTACAGCTGTCCAGAGAAGGGAGGGCTTGGCACTGAGACCTGAAGGACTGGTAGGAATTTGTCCCCTGGAAAACTAGGAGCTGGTCTTTTGGCAGAGAGCAGTAAGGAAAAAAGCACAAAGGCTTGAGGGTGTCTCGTGTAACCAGAAAACTGGGAGAGCTGGGCTTTAGAAGGAATAGAAATGTGAGGCCAGGACTGAAGTGGCAGTGATCAGAGACAGGGCAAGTATTTGAAGATGTTTGCAGAAAGTTAGATTAATGGCAGAGTTTGAGAGTCATGCCAACCTGAGACCACTCCTCTCAACAGACTTTTGACCTAAAGCATATTTTGGAGGCATTCTCTAAGTATCCCCTTCAACTACAATATGGAAATAATAGCACAACTGTATTGATTGATGTTAAATATTAAATCAGAGAGAGTGCATGAATTAGCTATCATATGGTAAGTATTTTTTAAAGAAATGGTTACTATAGATTATTTTTTGTTATTATAATAATCACTGAATGAAAGCTGCAGTGATAATAAAAATGGCAGGAATCAATTAGAGGAAAAAACTTATCAGGACCACAGTTTTGGTTCCAGGCAAAGTGATGTAATGCTTAAACACATTACAGGATACAATTCCTCAAGAGTTTAAGGTAATAATAGCTGTCTACATTTGGTTGTTTATAATTATCAAACCACGACTTGTTTTTGACTAGTGGCTTTCAATTTACCCTATCTTTATCTAATGATCCCTTGATTCCAGAGCTTAAGTTAAATGTTGTGAAGTTAGACATAAACCCCGGAGAGAATTGTTCTATAGGGAGAATCAAAGGAGTAAAGAAACAACAACAAGGTAATATGAGTGAAGTAAATACAGTATTTTTTTATGAAGTTGAAATCATGCTTTACAAAGATTAATGGAAAAACTGGATACACATGTTTCAAAAGGTAGAAAAAATTGTCTGAAAGTTCAGATAGTAAAAAAGAGAAAAGGCAATAGGGAGCCACTGTATGTCCCTGAGCAAAGTTAATTACATTAATAGATCACTAGCAGATAAGCAGAGAGTGTTAACTAACTGGTCAACTTTCCTAATAGAACAAACCTATGTCAAGTCAGTTTCATAAGAATTATGTGACGATCTTCAAAGGTAATAAATGCCTGCAGGGTATTTAAGATTGAGCTATTCGCGGTGAGGAAGGGGGTAGTCATCTGACTTTTTTTATATGACTACAGATTGCTGCGATATGTTATAAGGTTTAGAATTCACTGATCTAGTCCAATTTCTTCCTTTTCCTGTGAGGAGAATGAAGCCAAAGAAGCGTTATGACCTGCTGGAATACTAGCTGCCTAAGTAACTCTATCCCTTAGGCTTTTTCAGCTTCTGTGTATAAGACAGGTGACCTAAAAGTTGTGTGCAGAATGGATTGGAGAGTTAAGTCCTGGAGGGAAGGATACCAGTTAAAAACAATAACAACGGCAAAACAAAACAACTGTGATATTAACCCATGAAATATTATATTAAAGTAGTCAGTATCAGGACCAACGAGAAAGAGGAAAAAATTGAATCACTTTAAACAGACCAAGAATGTAATTCACAATAAGAGATGTCGAAGAAGATAACAATTCAGAGGCTCTCAGATCTGATTCTGCGAAAAAGGTTTGTGATCTGGGCAATTAATTTGGAATCAAAAGAAAGATTTCAGAGTGCATTTCGAAACTTCTAGAATTGTCTCACACAAATAACTTCCTCTGGCTTTCTTTACCCTCCCTTTGATTACCAGAAGCTGAAAGAAAGGAATTAACTTCTTTCTGGCTCAAAGACATCTGGAAAACATATGACCTCCGTCAATATCTCTAACACCAGGTCCCATGATTCAAACTACACACAATCAGTAAGAAAAGGAATTCAACATGTGTGCTATCGGCTCACTTCCTTTCTTGTGTTTATTTCAGAGCAATAAATCAAGTGTTTTCTAAGTTCCTACTCCCAAACTCCTAGTCAGAAAAGGACTCACCTGCCATAGGGAACAGCCTCTGTCCTTTTTTACAGCGTTGGAAAGAGCCTCAGAGTCAAAAATGAAAGTAAACTATGTATTTCCTTATTGCAAAGGGCGGAAACGTGTAATTACAGATTGTGAAACTGCTGCTCAGAATTCCAGACTCATTATCAGGAAGTGCCTTGTCATCAGCAAATTGGCATCCAATTACTGGAATTTAGTTTCTGACTTGGGGGAAAAAAATGAAAATGACAAAATATTATCCTGTGGGTTGACACCTCAGCTTGTTTCTTTTCTTGTTTCCTGTGGCCACCCAAACTTCTTCTATCCATCTGTCTCTTCTCTTCCTGATCTCTCAGTTTTTCTTTCTCTGATTACAAAGAACGACAATGACTGAAGAAGTTTAATCTAACAACTCTTTTTCATTTCCTGATAAGAATTAACCCAATAGTTCATATTTCCAGCTTTTTGGGCAGGCACTGAGCTGCAGGAGTTTTTACATAGTCCAGCAGCTCCCGGAACTCTAGTGAGGCAGGAGTCCCGTCCACTCCCATGGAAAGGGGGCTGAAGCCAGGGAGCAAAATGGCCTTGCAGCAGGTCCATTCTCACAGAAGCCTGCAAGCTTAGATCCGCTGGATTAGAATCCCCACTAGCCAGCATAGCAGCCTGGAGTACGCCAGAGATGACCGAGTTCCCCAGGGGAGGGGCGACTGCCATTACTGCAGCTCTAGTCAGCGGTTTTTCCCTACCAGTGCTAGGGAGGCTGGGCAGATTGGACTGGGCAGCAGTCTTCACAGTGCAGCACAGCCGCTGTGGCAGATCATGGCCAGACTGCTTCTTTAGGTGGGACCGGGATCCATCCCTCCTCTCCCGGCAAGAAATGCTTGCAGGAATTTCAGCAACTCCACCTAGAGTTTACAGACAGAGCTCTCATTTCCCTGGTACAGAGCACCTGCGGAGAGGGGCAGCTGCGGTCTCAGGTTCAGCCAACTTAATCTTTCCTGCCTGCTGGCTCTGAAGAGTATCAGCGATCCAGACAAGGGGGATTCCCCCAGCCCAGTGCACCATCTCTGCTAAGGGATAGCCAGACTCTTTCCTTAAGTGAGTTCCTGATCCTGGGCCTCCTGACTGGGTTAGACCATTCAACAGGGGTTGCCAGACACCTCATACAGGAGAGTTCCAACAGGCGTCAGGTCAGTGATCCTCTGGGAAGAAGCTTCCGGAGGAAGGAGGAGGCAGCACTCTTTGCTGTTCTGCAGCCTCCATTGGTGATACATAGGTGAACAGTGTCTGGAGTAGATCCTCAGCACACTGCAGCAGACCTGCAGAGGAAGGGCCTGAATGTTGGAAGAAAAACAAAAAAAAATAAAACAACAATAACACAGCATCAACAAAAAAGACCCTACAAAAATCCCATCCAAAGGTCAACAGCTTTAAAGATTAAAGGTAGATAAATCCACAAAGATGACGAAAAACCAACGCAAAACCGCTGAAAATTCCAAAAGCTGGAATGCCTTTTCTCCTCAAATGATTTCAACACTTCTCCAGCAAGGGCACAAAACAGGGCTGAAGCTGAGATGGATGAACTGACAGAAGTAGGTATCAGAAAGTGTGTAATGACAAACTTTGCTGAGCTAAAGGATTATATTCTAACCCAAGGCAAAGAAGCTAAGAACCGTGATAAAAGATTACAGGAACTGTTAATTAGAATAACCAGTTTAGAGAGGAATACAAATGACATGATGGAGCTGAGAAACACAGCGTGAGAGCTTCATGATTCAAACACAAGTATCAATAGCCAAATCAACCAGGCAGAAGAAAGAGTATCAGAGCTTGAAGACTATCTTGCTAAAATAAGGCAGGTAGAAAAGATTACAGAAAAAAATAAAAAGCAATGAACAATACCTTCCAGAACTATGGGACTATGTAAAAAGACCAAACCTATGACTGATTGAAGTACCTGAAAGAGATGTGGAGAATGGAGCCAAGTCAAAAAACACACTTCAGGATATCATCCAGGAGAACATCCCCAACCTAGCAAGACAGGTCAACATTCAAATTCAGGAAATTCAGACAGTCCCAGTAAGATACTCCACAAGAAGATCAATCCCAAGACACATAATCGTCAGATTCTCCAAGGTTGAAATGAAAGGAAAAAATGTTAAGGGCAGCCAGAGAGAGAGGCCAGGTCACCTACAGAGGGAAGCCCATCAGACTAGCAGTGGAATTCTCAGCAGAAATCCTACAAGCCAGAAAAGACTGGAGACCAATATTCAACATTAATAAAGAAAATAATTTCCAACCCAGAATTTAATGTCTGGCCAAACTAAGCTTCATAAGTGAAGGAGAAATAAAATCCTTTTCAGACAAGCAAATGCTGAGGGATTTTGTCACCACCAGGCTTGCCTTGAAAGACATCCTGTAGGAAACAGTAGTCATGGAAAGGAAAATCTGTTAGCAGCCACTATAAAAACACACTAAAATACACAGGCCCATGACACTATGAAGCAACTACATTAACAAGTCTGCAAAATTAACCAGGCAACATCATGATGACAGAATCAAATTCACACATACCAATATTAACCTTAAAATAAATGGGCCAAATTCCCCAATTAAAAGACACACAATGGCAAGCTGGACAAAAAGACAGGACTCATCAGTGTGCTGTATTCAAGAGACACTGTTGGTGAGAATGTAAATTAGGTCAATGATTGTGGAAGAGTGTGTGGTGAGTCATTTAGAACAGAAATACCATTTGACCAAGAAATACCATTACTGGGTATACACCCAGAAGAATATAAATCATTCTATTATAAAGATACATTACATACATGCATATGTTCATTGCAGCACTATTCACAATAGCAAAGACATGAAATCAATCAAAATGCCCATCAATGGTAGGCTGGATAGAGAAAATGTGACACATATACACCATGGAATACAATGCAGCCATAAAAATGAATGAGATCATGTCCTTTGCAAGGACAAGAATGAAGCTGGAAGATGTTATCCGCAGCAGACTAATGCAGGAACAGAAAACCAAACACTGCATGTTCTCACTTATAAGTGGGAGCTGAACAATAAGAACACATGGACTCAGGGAAGGGAACAACACACATGGAGGCCAGATAAGAGGATGGGGGATGCGAGAGAGCATTAAGGAAAAGAGATAATGCATGCTTGGCTTAATAACTAGGTGATGGGTTGATCTGTGCAGCAAACCACCATGGCACACGTTTACCTATGTAACAAACTGCGCATCCTGCACATGTATTCCAGAACTTAAAAAAATATTAAAATAAAATGGCAGTATGAAGCTTAACATTGAAGGATTGCAAGAGGTCAGAAATTCGCCTTCACTTTTAATGAGTTTGGGATTAGAAAAGGCTCATGATTGCAACTGAATTTGTAGTTCTTCCAGTTCTTCAAAATCTTCACATCACTGAGTGACTGATTTAACCCCAAACTATTTCCCCTGCACAACACAAGTGCATAATTTTGCATTCAGTGCACTGTAGTGTTTCTTCAGCATCTCATACTCTGTCTGCTATTTCTTTTATGTTTGTTGACTGTTATACATTCTTAAGGAGGCTGTGAAATATTAGGGATATATGGTTGAATTATTTATTTTTTCAAAGCTGTGAAAATACAATAAAGAACACATTTTGGTCACTTTATTAAATGACATTAAATAGTTTAAGTTTAAACTACTAAACAGCACTTTTAATGGTGAAAACACAGGTAGTATATTGTCATAC
Organism: Homo sapiens; assembly: GCF_000001405.40. Lineage (NCBI taxonomy): Eukaryota > Metazoa > Chordata > Mammalia > Primates > Hominidae > Homo > Homo sapiens. Next base: position 104,972,265 of record NC_000011.10, read on the forward strand.
TTGAATGCTTTTCTTTAGAAACACAATTCCAGTCCTTATATATATTACAAGACAGCCTTAAAGGAAGAAGTGACATCTTTTCTACAGTACTTAAGATACTCAATACAGAAATGAAAAGCGGTCTAACAGAAACAAAGACAAAGAGTGGTTTTTATCTCAGAAGAAAAGTAATGGTAGATTTAAAGCAGGCAGAAAAGATAATAGGACCTAGGAACTCTATAGTTTGTGGTTCAACCTTTGGGCTCTTTCTTCTTAATGTAAATGTGCACAAAGATGATTTACTTCCATTTCACATAAACTCTGGTGTTGTGGGAAGTCAGGGACCCTGAACAGAGGGACCGGCTAAAGCCATGGCAGAAGAACATAAATTGTGAAGATTTCATGGACACTTATTAGTTCCCCAAATTAATACTTTTATAATTTCTTATGCCTGTCTTTACTGCAATCTCTGAACATAAATTGTGGAGATTTCATGGACACTTATCACTTCCCCAATCAATATTCTTGTGATTTCCTATGCCTGTCTTTACTTTAATCTCTTCATCCCATCATCTTTGTAAGCTGAGGGTGTATGTCGCCTTAGGACCCTGTGATAATTGCGTTAACTGCACAAATTGTTTAAACAATATGAAATCTGGGCACCTTGAAAAAAGAACAAGATAAGAGCGACGTTCAGGGAACAAGGGAGATAACCATTAGGTCTGGCTGCCTGAGAGCTGGGCGGAACAGAGCCGTATTTCTCTTCTTTCAAAAGCAAATAGGAGAAATATTGCTGAATTCTTTTTCTCAGCAAGGAACAGAATGCGTTCCTAGGGGGAGGTCTCTAAAATGGCTGCTCTAGGGATGTCTGTCTTTTACGGTTGTCATAAGGAATGAAATAAGCCCCGGTCTCCTATAGTGCTCCCAGGCTTATTAGGATGAGGAAATTCCCACCTAATAAATTTTGGTCAGACTGGTTGTCTGCTCTCAAACCCTGTCTCATGATAAGATGTTATCAATGACAATGCGTGCCCAAAGCTTCATTAGCAATTTTAATTTCACCCTGGTTCTGTGATCTCACCCTGCCTCCATTTGCCTTGTGATATTTTACTACCTTGTGAAGCACGTGATCTCTGTGACCCACACCCTATTCGTACACTCCCTCCCCTTTTGAAAATCACTAACAAAAACTTGCTGGTTTTGTGGCTCAGGGGGCATCATGGAACCTGCCGACATGTGATGTCTACCCCGGACACCCAGCTTTAAAATTTCTCTCTTTTGTACTCTTTCCCTTTATTTCTCAGACTGGCCGACACTTAGGGAAATAGATAAGTGCCCACAAAGAATTATCAGGGATGGGTTTCCCCCAATGCTCTGGCAAGTAGAGGTGCCAAAAAAACCTACAAAGTGCTCAAAATAGGCTTTTCCTCCTTGTTTTCTACTCATTCTTAGATTATTTGTTTCCTGCTTTTTTTTTTTTTTCTTAAAAGGAGAAACTGAGCTGTGGCCTAGGGTTTTTGTGTGGTGGATCGATTTGTACTGCTCGTGGGCAGGACTCTACAGTGTGTCACCATTGAGTCAGGTCTACCCTTGTACATGTCTCAGTTTCTCTCTCCAGAGTTCTACAAACTCTGAGAGGGCTCAAAACACTGGGTAATCAGCCTGATATTCATTTCCTGGACAAGCCATTTTTATAATTAATTTTTGTTGGGGATTTTCCTACAGGGCTACTGCATGTCACAAGGGGGTCAACCCCCAGACATACCCAGGGGTGCCTTTTGGCTAGGAGGAGCAAATGCCCTTTCTCTTCAAAAAAAGTTGAGAAAACTCAGTTTCTCATTAACCGGTGAAATCAACAATTCAGTTCCTCATGCAAATGTGCAAAGTGAATTAAGATTAATTTTGGGAGACAAAGCAATAGAGAGAATTCCTTGAAAATCATCTCCAAACTATAATTAAAATCCTGAAACTACAACTTTCTAGGAGAAAAACCAGCTAAGATAAATCAAAGACCATCAACCAAAGAGAAGTCGGGGGCTCAGGAGGACTTACCAGTTCCACCAGATGAGAAGCTTGAAGTCATGTAGGCTTCAATGGGCCCTGCTACTACCATAGCTCCATATTTGGGCAACTCCTTCCGGGTCCTGAGTCTTCTCTGAGGTGCCACATGTTTGATCACCAAATTATTGTCAATGAAAAGAGTAAAACTCTGTAAAATGTTTGAACAAATTTATTCTTAGCCAAATATGAGTGACCATGGCCCATGACACAGGCCCTCAAGGAGGTCCTGAGAACATATGCCCAAGGTAGTTGGGGTACAGCTTGGTTTTATACATTTTAGGGAGGCATGAGATATCAATTAAATACATTTAAGAAATACATTCATTTGGTCCAAAAAGTTGGGGCAACTCAAAGTGTGGGACTACAGGCTACAGGTAAATTTAGACATTTTCTGGTTGATAATTGGTTGAGTTTGCCTAAAGACTTAAAATCGATAGAAAGAAAATGCTCAGGTTAAGATAAAAGATTGTGGAGACCAAGGTTCTTTTGAAGTCTTGTAGTGACGGGCCTTAGAGAAAACAGATGACAAATGTTTCCTATTCAGACCTTTAAAAGGTGCTAGACTCTTAGTTAATCTCTTCAGGATTAGGAAAGCCTGGAAGAAAATGATCTAGCTATGTTAACAGAGATTCTTTACAGATGCAAATTTTCCGGCACAAAGGACAACTTTGCAGGGCCATTTCAAAATATAGCAAAGAAACATGTTTTGGGGTAAAATATTTTGACTTTCCTCCTTGTCACATAATGATATGCCAGGGTGAGATTCTAAAGTCACGATACACAGGGTTAAAGAAAATCCATCTGATGAGAATTTATGGTTTGTAGGGCCTGGCTCCCCAGACCCCTTAGATAGGAATTTGGGCAAGATAAAGTCATCAGAACGAATATCTACCAGCCAGCCATCTAATTCACAGAAGCCACAATCTTCAGTACTGACAGTATGAGTTCTTTGACATTAAAAGACAGACATAAAGAAACTGAAAAATCCTGGATGCATACAGATGAAGTCAGTGGTTGAATGTCTGGTGTTCTTAAAGACATTAGCACTCACCACCGCAGCAGGCCTGGATGAAGATCACCTTGGGTTTGTCCTTCAAACTTGGACAGTTCCTGGTATTCAACATTTGGAAAATTTCATTGACTTCTAATATATTTGGGAGTTACTCAGAGTATTTTTTCCTACAAATGCCTTCCCAAATACCATGAGACGTGAACACCAGGAAAGTGCTGTCAGAGGTCCTGTGCTCTGGGCAATGAGCAAATGCCTTCAGCTCTGTAGTCATCTCCTAAAAGGCACTATACCACTGATTTTGGACTGTGTAATTCACTATCATGGCACCTTAGAAATCAAATAAATAAATACATAAGGGATTTCTTAAGGAATTTTATGATGAACAATGGAGAGGCAAGAAAAATTTTAGTCTTAGTTTGGAGAAAAGGGAAGAAAGTGTTATAGGAAATCATCCAGAGATATAGAGAGAAGGAAGCATTATTGAGTTAATAAAACACTCCCCAATTAAGTTATACCAGGCTTTAGCTGAATAATCCTTATGTTATAAGAGAACATGTAGCATCCGGCATCCTCCAATGGCAAATTTGGATTTTAGATTATGAAGAGATTATATTCTCTGGTCCTACAACTAAGCTTTCTAACATAATTTAGGAATATGAAAGCCATTACCATTGTCTCTGTGTATGATAAAACTTACTGAAGCAGTGACATTTTCATTCACATCCACGCTATACCCCAGAGATTCTATCAGCATCTTCATATCTCTGACATCAACTTCACCTCTAACCCTCCCAGGAAGAATGGCATTCCTCGTGGATAATGGGATTCTTCTCTGTCCCACTTTGTGTTCCTTACAGCATCATCTATGTGTGAAGCCATAAAAGAAGAAATGCATTCTTAGGAGGACAATCCTGATGTAGTCATTAACACCATTGAGTGAATTCTCTGCTAATGGAACACTTCCCAAGCTAGAGGAGATTTTTAGTGGTGCAATGCAGGAATCTATATTAATATTCTAGCATCAGCTTTTTTACAAATATTTTAGACAAAAACATAGAAAGGGGCATTTTCAAGGCCGGACGTAACAAAACACTCAGAAAACAATGTGTGAGATAAAATCTTTACAATATAAGTTGATTTCAAAAGATTCAAACCCTAGGATAAATTTAATAGGAGTAAGACTTAATTAACTTTGTTAAATATGTCTTTACAAGATGTATGTCTATCTATTTATTTACTTATTAGACATGATAGTAAGCATTAGACATTGTTCTAATGAGCTTTTGTGCCAACATTCAGGATTTCTTCTCAGTACATATCTATATGGGAAGGAAGAAGAAGAATAGTGAGCATATAAACTAGAATGAATATGAAATAAAATAATCAATGCTAAAATCAAGGTGCACAATAGATGACTTCATAGCACTAAACATTGCTTTCATAAACATATGAGGAAGAGTTTTCACAGAGGTTTATGTGAGAAAATCCTTGAAAATTTTATTTGATCACAAGTTCCACACCATATGACAATGTGATGTATTTGATAAATAAATTAATGTAATCTTTGTCTGTTTCAAAATATAAATAAATGTACTAGATATTTGGAGATTCTTTTAGAAACTAAGCTATTAAAATGAGAAAATTATATTCAATTTGGAAATGGAATTTGAGAAACTCCTTTAAAATCAGCTAGGTAAACCAAAGCAGCATTAAGTGGGTTAATTTTGGAGAAGATAAGAGCTAATTAGAATGAATATTTTGGAGAAAACTGTAGAAATAATCATTAGGTGGAAAAAAATGCTTGTTTTTTTCATAGAGGAATCAGAACAACACAAAAGACCTCAGATGGCCAGGCACTGTGGCTCAAGCCTGTAATTCCAGCACGTTGGGAGTCCAAGGCGGGTGCATCACCTGAGTTCTGGAGTTCAAGTCAGCTTGGCCAACATGGTGAAACCTTGTCTCTACTAAAAATACAAAACAAATTAGCTGGGTGAGGTGGCGAGCACCTATAATCCCAGCTACTCGGGAGGCTGAGGCAGGAGAATCACTACTTGAATTCGGGAGGCAGAGGTTGCAGTGAGCAGAGGTTGTGCCATTGCACTCCAGCCATAGGTAACTAGAGTGAAACTCTGTCTCAAAAAATAAAAAATACTTAAAGTAAGTTTTTGATTGTTTTGTAAGGAAGGAATAGGATATTTGGTGATATGATCAGTGTCTCATCTCAGAAAATATTCATAAAATTCATAAAATTATCACCCTTAATAGATTCAGCAGGCCAGGTGAAGTGACTCACACCTGTAGTCTTAATATTTTGGGAGGCCAAGGTGGGAGGATTGTTTGAGGCTGGGAGTTTGAGACCAGCCTGGGAAACAAGCAAGTCCCTGTCTCTGCAAAAAATAAAAAGAAAAATTAGCTAGGCATCATGGTGTGTGCCTACAGTTCCATCTACTTGGGAGACTGAGGTCGAAGAATTGTTTGAGCCCAGAAAACCGAGGCCACAGTGAACTGCGTTCATGCCACTGCACTCCAGCCTAGACAACAGAGCATGACCATGTCTCAAAAAAAAAAAAAAAAAAAAAAAAAAAAAAAAAAAAAAACAACCGGAAAGTAATATCTAAACTTTGTGAAAAAAATTGCTTTCCTGGCTTCACAATTTCTTTCAAATATAAAATCCTTTTATTTTAAGAGAAAGAGTCACTTTTGGAAAAAAAATATTTTATAGTTGTACCCTGTTCTAGGACAAATAAAACACTGACAATTTGGTAAGCAAGAAGCTGAACTCACAAACATAAATTTTTCTAACCAAAACCCAGCACATCTTGACTGTGTTAGGACTCAATAAAACTTAGATCATGATTTTCAGGGTAGAGGACTGAAACATTTTTAAGATCTTTCTTGTCATCTGGGACATAAGTATTTCCTTTAGTACCCTGAATATTTTATGGAATAAAAAGTTTTATGCCCACATTTTTGTGGCAGCGACTAGCCAGACACTCTCAGTGTCTACACTGAGACCCAACAAGACACTTCTCTGTTTCCTGGGCACTCAGCTAGTCTATGTTGCCAATGACTCTAGTAGTTAGGCATGACCATATCACTGGTTTCTAACTAGTGGAATGCAAGCACAAGTATGGGGTGAGCCTAGAAAAATCTCCTAAAGATGATCCTCTGTATTATTTCCAATGCCACTAACTGGATGGTTATCATCACAATTATTTTAACATTGCCATGTTGCAGATTATCAGAGCCATAGAATAGAAGAGTTCTAAGCATCTGGGTTAGCACTTGGAGAAGAGCTGTCCACTAATCAGGAATAGCAATTTTGGAATTTTCATGAAGGAGAAATAAGCTTTTACCATATCTGAGTGATTATAAACGTTTGACTTTGTTAAAACAACCCACATTAACACATACAGGCCTGTGTAGTCTCATTTATATCCCTAAATTATTGGAATGCTTTAATTTCAGGATAGAGATTTTTAATTACATTTTCACTTATGATTTATGTATTCATGTGAGTGCAATAAAAACAGGGATGCTGTCTTGTTCATTTTTCTCTATCCAGTCCATAGAACGTGGTATTGAATAGAGTTGGCATGTGATCAATATTTTTCTAGTGGCCTAGTAACAATAATTCTAATGAAATTATTTAGTGAAGTGTTCTTTTAACAAATATTTATCAAATGCGAGGCAACCAACCGTTAAATGAGATCATACCTATGAATAAGTCAGACATTTTGAAATTTTACCTCAAAGCTTAAAGTCCAATGGAGGAAATTGAATTTATTTTTTAAATTACCAAAACATTTGGTAAGAGTTATGGCTAAAGAATTACAGGGAACTTTAGGAAAAGGGGCTCTGAAGCATATTAGCAGAAGTGGAGAGACAGATTCAAATTGGAACAGTAGATCCATAAGCCTGACAATGGCTTCAATGTTGGAGGTGAGTTAGAAGAAAGAGCTCAAGATGAGTTTCAGGTTTCTGGTTTGAATAATTGGTGATGGTGACATCGTTAACCAAGATAGAAGAAACTGAAAGAGAAGCAGCATTGGGGAAGAATGGCACGTTCAGCTGTGGGAATGTTCAGGCAAAGGTGTCTCTGGGAGATGTGAGTGAGTATGTTCAGTAGTCACTTGAATTATGAAGTCTGGCACTTTAGTGGGTAATCAGGATTTAATACACAAATTCAAATTTGTTTATACAGACATATACACAGGGGTAGTGAAACTGTGAGAATAGCCTCTGTGGAAGCAGACTAGATTAAGAAGAGAAAAAAGTATATGATCAATCTATGAGAATTACCTATTACTCTCTCATCCTGGGTTTACCATATGTATTTAATATCAAGGAAGATGGGATTCAAAGAATGCTATTTCTTACCTGGGAAGGGAGAAAATACTTCTTAAGAATCTTGTGTACTGAGGTCATTTCCAAAGAGTGGGCCTAAAGAAAGATTGATATTTAAATAGTCGCTTGTCATCTCTGAAGAACTTTACCCCAATGTATTGGATACTCTTCACTGATTTATTTTCCATATGCCTGACTGATTGATAATAAATCCTGTTCAAGATGTGTCTTTTGAAACCACACACATCACTTGGGAAACAAGAGGCTCTTCACATGAATGACTAGACAGTTATTTAATAGCTAAGGCAGAATAGATGAGTATCTGTGAGTGACACCTTTGATCTCTGCTTTGTATGGTGAAAGTGGAATCAGGACATCATCAGATATAGAATCAGTAATTCTCTTGACATATGTATGTCAAGGTGGCCCCTGAGGCAACACAGGTGTCTGAAAGTAAAGTTGCCTAACTCAGTGCTGACTTTGGCTTTGAAGAAAACTATGAGGGGGGAAAGGCGTCTGTGTTTAGGCCTCTAGTTTTGCTAAGATTTGTCACAGCAAAGGGGTTAGGTGAACAATCGGCCAAGCCAGGAAGAATGAACCCAAGTTCCAGGCTTGAGATGAATCAGTGACATCTCAGAGGAATCTATTTAGAACTTGGGAGGAATGGGGGTCAGAGACATGCTGGAACTCACAAGGTCTTTTAATCTGCTTAAATTGAAGGAGAAGGTTAATAAGAATGTGTTCTTCATCCTAGAATGATAGATATTTGTGCAAAGTCAATAATATTCCCTTAACATGTTTCTGAAATTTTTTCAAATTTATTTCTCACTGATATTAATAATCTCCCCTCAAGTGAACTAGTGAAATTTCCATGGTCCAGAGAGACTCATGACACATGTTAGATCATTTTATAAGTTGAATGTTGTGATGTACATGAAAGTTACAGGCAAATACACTGTCAGCTTTACTATGTGAATTTCTTGTCCCAACCATTTTCTATTCTCTATACTATGTCCTCTATTCTCTACCTATATCTCTATGCCCTATACTGTAACACTGCGAGCAAAGTGGAAATAAAATTAATAATAATAATAATAATATGGAGTTAACATTTATTACTTGGTTCTTTTAGGGCTATCATTATCACCCATGGTTTGCAATATTGTACTAGCACTTGACCTGTCCCCCTATATCCACTCTTGCTGGGCTATAATCCATTCCCCACAGAGATCCCAGAGTGATTCTTTAAAAATGAAAATTTTATCACTTAATTGCTTACAGCCCTCCAGAATTTCTTATTACTATTAGTAAGAAGGAACATATAAGGCCTCAGATATTCTGGTCCCTCCCTCACCCCCCAGCCTCCCTGTTGGCATCTCTTCTGACACTGTGTTCCAGCTACTAAGCCCTCTCTCTGAAGCTCTGTTTTGTCTGTAAGTTCCCCATACACACTGCTTCTCTTGTCTAGAATGTTCCTCTTTTACCCTTGATTTGCACTCCTTAGTTTTTCAAATGTGAGCATAAATGTTTCTTTAAAGGTTTTTATCACAGTGGACAATCATTATTTATTCCTGCTACATTGTACCTGCATTTTTTCTCCCAATTAATGTCTGCCTTTATGGCCTGACTGTAAATACCATAAGGTTTAGTAACCACGTCTCCTTTAATTGTGCATCATATGTCCTGCATGTAGCCTCGTCTTAGCACACAATTACATGTACAAAACAAAAAATAAAAAAAGGAATTTGCATATTAGACTGTATTTCCACAACTAAATTGAACAGTCCTTCAGAATATGTATCAGGCTTCATATGCAATTTTAACTTCTTTTAACAGCTATAAGTATAGAACTCATCTTTCAGATAAGTTCCAGAGAATATATGATAGGTAATAAGATAGAGGATAACTGGGGAAGCTATCTGAGTAGGGAACTGGAAGAAATATGTTTAGCCAGAGCAGAGAACAAATGCAAAGTTTTGCTGTGTATGTAATTATTTTGTTTAGTTTTCTTCAAGCAACTAAGCAGATAGTGATGCCATCATCAAACTGGGAAAGAATGGGCTTAATAAGCTTGTTTTGGAAGGACTCAGAGAAAGAAAAAGTAATGAGAAATTAGAAATTTTATTTTAAATTCCTTAAATTTGAGCTACCAATTAGATATGCAAGGAGACAGGTACAGTAGAAAATTTTATGTATGAAACAGGAACTCGGTTTTTATAGAGTTCTATATAGTCTCATGGTTCTTGTGAAGGGTCAAAGGACTTAGACTAATACTAGACACCCAACAAGTCTTTGATGTTAAAGTGGTTTAAGTAGCCTAGAAAATACTGTTATTAGTAATTGACTAGAATAGTTCTAAGGAATAAAAGGAGTACTCAAACTATAAACACAGAAATTATATTACTTGATTTCTTTTTTACATAAATAAAGGACAGTCACCTTTTGAAAATATTTGGGTAGCTAAAACATAAATTCTACTCTTTATGCCTTTCAAGGAAGTATATAACACAGATAAGAGTACTAGTTTCCGTAAGAAATCTATTAGTGAGCAAATGGCACATATAAGATGCATTTTGTATGTGTCCCCAAACATGTGACCATTACTTGGTTTATTTCACACCTTTATTGTTTGAAATATTCAATATTTATTGCACTTATTGTATTGAATTTAAAAAGAGTATGTGCCACTGTACTCTTTTTAAAGAGCACTTACATAAATTTAAACATATTTAATTTTTCCATATTTCCCCTATAGTGCACAAAATTTAACTAAAAAATATTTGTTTTTATCAAAGTTATTCTGAGCCAAATCAGAAAAAAAGCCAAATGATACAAAATACATAATTTTGCTTATCTTCTTTTAATTTTTGCATCATTTTTTTCCCATAATTACATTCGACACTTATAAAATGATTTTGTGGGAACTAATCCCATCATGAAAACTTTGTAAGTATGCCATGCTCCACACTTCCATTTAGGGTTTTGTTCTTTATAAAAAGTGCATGGCCTTAAAGTGCAAAAATACAGACCTATTTATAGGATACTTAATATCCCAAACAAGTTAAACTATATGTAAGACTAATCAGAGTCTTCGGCAGAAACCAATATTTGTGTCTTAGACTCCAGAAATACCTGTCTCAGCCTTGTTCAGTGCCAAGGAAAAATTCAACATACTGTTATTGACCCATAAATTCTACATCAAAATGAACTATGATTCTCTCACAGATTTAGAAGCCTCAAAAATTACATCTCATAATGTATCAGTCTGTTATTGCCACAAGACTGCCATATAACAAATGATCTCAAAATTTCAGCGACAAATTTCACTAAGCTCATTTTGCACCTGTGGGTATACAATTCAGCTGCAGGAACCTCTTACTTCCCTTGTGGGTCATCTCAGTGCGTCTTTTCCATAATTCTCATCCTCCTTTAGGTCTGGTAGGTTTCTGTCATAGCAACTGCAGAAGCCGAGACGACAAGCCTAATCAGTTAAGAATATTTCAAGCCTCTGCTTGGATTAATAAATTGGTCATTTCAACTGAAAGAAGTTGCTATGGAAGATGTAAAACATGGTACTCAGAACAATTTGCTAATCCTCTACATCCTGAAGATTTCTGTAATGAATTGAATCCAAATATTTCCCTCCATTTGATCTCCTGTAGCAAATATTGATTAAGCCATTTAATAAAAAGGTGCTTTATATTCTTTCATATAGGGTAGATACTTCTGACATGCAATTTTTTTCTGAAGTTCAAAAGCACCATGAAAGCATGTACTAGAGATTTTTCTCAATTTGTATAGCAGATGTTCAGCACAATGCCTTAAATAAATTGTTTTTAATAATGGACAAAATATAGAGGGTAAAAAAGCACTTTTTTTAAAAAAAAGAATCAGACAATTTTGGTTTGAGTTCTATTTATCAGTAGGATATCAATCAAAATATATAGGCTGCAAATATCACCAGGTTTACTATTAACTTTCTGCCCAATGTAGTCAACAGGTAGCTCTGATCATTGTACTTTTTAGAGAACTGGAATAATGGAAGATCCATTTTGACACATGGCTTTACCATGGCAGAGAAATGGTAAATAACAAATGGTGTTCTGGTTTCCAACCCATTATCTCAAATGGAAGCTCACATACTACCTCTGCTTATGTGGCATTAGTGAAAGTAAGTTATGTAGCTACAGCAACCTTGAAAGGAGATGGGTACAATCCTACCACATTCCAAGAGGCAGGCCCATGAGATGAGTACCTTTATTTCTCCCATTTTACAGAAGAAAATCAGACTTCAGGCTGTAGAATAACCTCTGAAATCACACAATTGGAAAGTAGCCAAGCTGGAATTTTCATCAATGTGTCTAAGAAATGAAAACCTATGCTTTTTGGCACAGCATTTCTTTACCTTTTCATGTGAAGTAGGCTTTACAGTAGATGCTATGTGCTATTGTCTGAATCTTTATTTTCCTTCTAAAATTCATATGGTTAAAATCCTAACCCCCAAGGTTATGGCATTTGGAGGTGGGGCCTTTGGGAGGTGATTAGGTTATGAGAGCAGAGCCTTCATAACTAGAATAAGTGCTTTTATAAAAGAGACCCCAGAGAGGTAGCTCTTTACTACTACCATGTGAGGACAAAGTTATAAGATGCCATACAGAAATTAGAAAGTGGGCCCTCACCAGATCTAGATCTTCCAATGCCTTGATCCTGGACTTCCCAGCCTCTAGAATTGTGAGAAATAAATTTCAATCATTTATAAGCTACTCAGTTTATGGCATTTTGTTCCAGCTGTCCAAATGGAATAAAATAGTAGATACTAACAAATACTAGCTCTTGTTATCCTTAACCCTTGTATTTTCTACTGATGATAATGATAATTAAGAATGTAAGAATTAAATAACTATACAAAACAAAACACAAAAGAAAGAGAAAATTTTATCTTCTTAGGACAATGTGTGTTCATCTCTACCTAAAAGAAGGTTGGTAGACTGTCTTTTTGGAGATATTGCTTGTTAGTAATGAATATACTATAGTCCATAATGTAAGGTATGCCCATTATCAGTGGAGATTTTAACATGCTTAAGAAACCATTATATAAGTCCAAAATATTAATTTAGTTTTGAGAAATATAACTTTTATAAGAAATAGAATATTTGCATTAATATAGTGAGAGTATTTTCTTTCAGCAACCTGGCCAAAAGTATAATCAGAAGAATGCTAAGTGGACATAGAATCAAATGAGGGAGAATGAGATAAATCAATTTGTAATATCATCAAGCTAATAACTCCAACCTAAGGGAAAAACTTCTGCTTATGGATGAAAGTATCAAAGTCCGTTGATTACACAACCCTTTGCATACTTTCACCATCACTAAATGCGTTGTTATCATTTGGCTAAGGCTCTCTCCCACAAAGTGAAGAGGAATGGGTACTGTCACCCCTGCCTCTGTGACTCTTTTTTCTTATTTCAATGTATGTCTAGACATAGACTTTCCTCGAATGTCTGCTTATGTTCCTTCAGTTTGCCAAGTCTCTTAGGCTTCATACTTGTTATTAATATAACATTTCATACCTTTGCACTATCATATTTATTGATTTCATATTTAAATTTCAGAATAAAGTAATTTTCCACTGTTTTCAGACTTACTAGGATAATCTCATATATGATAAGAATAACAATGATGATGATACAGAACCAAGTTTAAATATTACTCCAGAATTACTTCCAGGGGCTTGCAATGTCAGTGGATGAAATATGTGTCAAAAATTGGAGCAAAATAATGTTTTTCCTAATTAATAAGTGCATATTCTTTTTACTTTGAAATTTCCTGTATAGATCATTTCAAAGGTGGTTTCCCAAACTCAGTGAGCAATCACAGTACCTGCTTTTAACTTCTTATTGCTGAAAGAGGCATTGAAGTGGGTCAGAGAGACAGTCTTGAATGGTAGACACCAATCTTCCCCTATCCCCTGGCAGAGGCCATGCAGCAGTATGGAGAGTCTGTGTGTTGGAGGAGGGAGAGTACAGCATCTGAGGGACATTACATTGAACTCAGTGTTGCATGTCATAGTTGAGAACAAAGCTGTGATAGGCTCAGCCAGTGCCTGTGCATGGTGGGAGCATTTGAACCAGCCCTAGCCAGAGAGGAATCATCTATCCCAGTGGTTGAAACTTGAGTTGCTCAGCAAGCCTCGTCACTGCTAGCCAAAGTGCTCTGGGGTCCTTGGTAGACTTGAAAGGCAGTCTAGGATTCAAGAACTACAATTACTAGGGAACTCCTTGTGCTGGGCTAGGCTCAGAGTCATTAACCTGGAAAGTTACTAGCCAGGTGGCTAAGGGGGTGTTTGTCTCACCTCCCGGCAAACCCCAGGCTGCACAGCTCACAGCAATGAAAGTGATTTCTTTTTTCTGCTTAAGAAAAGGAGAGAGAAGAGTAAAGAAGACTTTGTATTGCACCTTGGATATTAGCTCACCCATAGTAGGACAGGGCACCAGGTAAAGATGTGAGATACCCACCCCAGGCCCTGGCTCTCAGATGACATTTCTAGACATACCCTAGCCAATCGAGAACCCAGTGACATAAAGGGAAGGATCCAGTCCTGGCAGAATTTGTCACCTGCTGACTAAAGAGTCTTTGTGTCCTTAATAATCAATACTCAGGTAGTATGCAATGCGCCTTGGGCTCTAAGATGTCCTGAATTCAGCTGTGATCCAACACATTCCCAGCTGTGGTGACTATGCTGAAAGACTCCTACAGTTTGATGAAAGCAGGGGAGAAAGTAAAGGGGACTTTGCCTTGCACTTTAGGTACCAGCTTGGCCACAGTGGGTTAGAGCAATAATCAAGGTCTTAGGGTCTCTGAGTCTAGGCCTAGGCTCTTGGATAGCATTTCTGGACCTGTCATGGGCCACAGGGGAGCCCACTGCCCTGAAGGGTGAGTCTCAGGCCTGGTAGCATTAATCACAAACTGACAGATGAGCCCTGAGGCTTTAAGTGAACATCAGTGGTGGCCTGGTAGAATGCCCCATGGGCCTGTGGTGCTGGTGGCCACAGGGAAAGTCTCCTCTGCCTGTGGGAAGGGAAGGGAAAAGCAGGAAGGACTTTGTATTGTGGTTTAAATGCCAGCTTAGCTACAGTAGAATAGAACAACAGGCAAATTACTAAGATTTTTTACTCCAATTCCTGGCTCCCAAATAGCATTTCTGGGCCTGTAGAGAACCTGGGGGAGCTCACCACCTTGAATGGAAGAACACAAACCTGTCTGGCTTTGCCACCTGCTGATCACAGAGCCCTAGGGCCTTGAGTGAACAGAGGTTGTAGCCAGTTAGTGATTACAGAGCATCTTGGGAGAGACCCAGTGCTGTGCTGGCTTCAGGTCTGAAATAGCGGTGGTGGTGACAGGGGTGCTTGTGTCTCTCCACCCCAGTTCCAGATGGCTCAGCACAGAAAGAGAGACTCTTTTGTTTGGGACAAAATAAGGAAAAAGAACAAGCGCCCATCTGATAATCTAGAGAATTCTTCCAAAATTCTATGTCTGTAACTGTCCAGAGAATTCAAAATAGCTGTTTTAATGAAACTCAAAGAAATTCAAGATAACACAGTGAAGGAACTCAGAATTCTATCAGGTAAATTCAACAAAGAGATTGAAATAATTAGAATGAATCAAGCAGAAACTCTGGAATTGAACAATATAATTGATATACTAAAGAATGCGTCAGAGTCCCTTAATAGTAGAATTGATCAAGCAGAATAAAGAATTAATGAGCTTGAAGACAGTTTATTTGGAAGTATACAGCCACAGGAAATGTAGGAAGGAAAAAAAACAATAAAGCATGACTACAAGATCTAGAAAAGAGGCTCAAAGGGATAAATCTAAAAGTTATTGGCATTAAAGATGAAGTAGAGAAAGAGATAGGGATAGAAAGTTTATTTCAAAGGAGTAATATCAGAAAACTTCCCAAGCCTAAAGAAAAATATCAACCTTCAAGTACAAGAAAGTTATAGAACACCAAGCAGATTTAACCCAAAGAAGACTACCTCAAGACATTTGATAATCAAACTTCCGAAGGTCAAAGATAAAGACAGATTTCTAAAAGCAGCAAGAGAAAGAAACAAATAATATACTCCAATATATCTAGCAGCAGACTTTTCAGTGGAAACCTTACAGGCCAGAAGAGAGTGGCGTGACATAATTAAAATGCCAAAGGAAAAAACTTTGACCCTAAAAAAGCACATCCAGTGAAAATGTCCTTCAAGCAAAAAAGATGAATAAAAACTTTCCCAGACAAACAAAAAAAAGATGAGGGCTTTTATCAATGCCAGACATGTTCTACAAGAAATGCTAAACCAAGTTCTTCAATCTGAAAAAAAGGACTTAAATGAGCAAGAAAGAATCATTTGAAGATACAAAACTCACTGGTAATAGTAAGAGCACAGAAAAACACAGAATATTATAACGCTGTAATTGTGATGTGTAAACATCTCTTAATTAGAAAGACTAAACCAATCAAAAATAATAACTACGACTACTTTTCAAGATGCAGACAGTACATGAAGACATCAAGAGAAACAACAAAAAGTTAAAAATTGAGATGATGCAACTAAAGTATACAGTTTTTATTAGTTTTCTTTTTCCATGGTTGTTTGTTTATGCAATCAGTATTTAGCTGTTATCAGTTTAAAATAATGAGTTATAAGATAGTATTTGCAGACCTCATGGCATCCATACAATGGATACTCAAAAAGTAAAAAGCAAAAAATTGAATCATACTACAAGAGAAAATCACCTTTGCTAAAAGCAAGACAGAAGAAAAGGAAAAAAGGAAGATAAGATCATAAAACAAGCAGACAACAAATAACAAAATGGCAGGAGTAATAAAAGACATTTAAATTAAAAAGAAAGAAGTCAAATTATCTTTGTTTGCAGATCATATTTTCTTCTTATTTGGAAATCGTAAAGACTCCACCAGAAAACTATTAGAACAGATAAACAAATTTGATAAAGTTACAGGAGATAAAATCAATATACAAAAATCTGTAGCATTTCTACATGCCAACACTAAACAATTCAAAAAAGAAATTTAAAAAGTAATCCCATTTATAGCAGCCTTAAATAAATGCCTAGGATTTAACTTCACCAAACAAGGGAAAGACCTCTACAATGAAAACTATAATACACTGATGAAAGAAATTGAAGAGGACGCAAAAATAAAATGATATTCCATGCTCATGAATGGAAAGATCTAATATTGTTAAAATGTACAAACTACCCAAAGCAACCTACAGACTGAATGCCATCTCTGTCCAAATGCCATCTCTGTCCAATAAAAAGAATGCCCAACAACATTCTTTACAGAAATAGGTGAAATGAGTCTAAAATTTATATTGAACTGCAAAAGACCCAGAATAGCCAAAGCTATCCTGAGCAAAAGGAACAAAACTAGAGGAATCACATTACATAATTCCAAATTATACTACAGAACTATAATAATTAAAACAGCATGGTACTGGCATAAAAACAGATGCATAGACCAATGGAACAAAATAGAGAACACAGAAACAAATTTACACACCTACAGTGAGCTCGTTTTTGACAAAGGTGTCAAGAATATACCCTGGGGAAAAGATAGCCTTTTCAATAAATGGTGCTGGGAAAACAGGATATCCATTTGCAGAAGAATGAAACTATAACCTTATCTCTTGCCACATACAAAAACAAAATCAAAACTGATGAAAGATTTAAATCTAAGACCTCAAATTATGAAACTACTAAAATAAAACATTAGGGAAACTATTAGAACATTGGTGTGGGCAAAAATTTTTTGAGTAATACCCCACAAGCACAAGAAACAAAAGCAAAAATGGACAAATAGAATCATATCATGTTAAAAAGCATCTGTGGAATAAAGAAAATAATCAAGGTGAAAGACAACCAACAGCATGGGAGAAAATATTTGCAAACTCTCCAAATGAAAAGGGATTAATAACCAAAATTTATAAGGAGCTGAAACAACTCTATAAGAAAAAAATCTAATGATCTGATTTAAAAATGGGTAAAAGAAAAAAATAAAAATGGGTAGAAGATTTGGATAGATATTTCTCAAAAGAAAACATAAAAACAACAAACAGGCTTATGAAAAGATATTCAGCACCATTGATGATCAGAGAAATGCAAATCAAAACTCCAATGATACATCATCTCACCCCAGTTAAAATGACTTTTATCCAAATGATAGGCAATAAACAGTGCTGGTGAGGATGCAGAGAAAAGGAAACATTCATACACTGTTGGGAATGTAAATTAGTACAACCACTATGAAGAAGAGTTTGGAGCCTTCTCAAAAAAAACTAAAGATAAAGCTACCATATAATCCAGCAATTCCACTTCGGGGTATGTAGCCAGAAGAAAGAAAATCAGTATATTGAAGAGACATCTGCACTCCCATATTTTTTTGCAGCACTGTTTACATCAGCTAAGATTTGGAAGCAGTCTAAGTGTCCATCAACAGATGAATGGATAAAAAAAATATGGTACATATACACAATGCAGTACTATTCAGCCATAAGAAAGACTGAGATTCTGTCATTTGCAACAACATGGATGGAATGGGAGATCATTGCATTAAGCAAAACAAGCCAGCCACAGAAAGACAAACATCACATGTTTTCATGTATTTGTGGAATCTAAAAATAAAAACAATTGAACTTATGAGTATAGAGAGTAGAAAGTTGATTACCAGAAGCTGGAAGGGTAGTGGAGGGTTGCAGGAGGAGGTGGGAATGGTTAATAGGTACAAAATTTATTAGAATGAATGAATAAGACCTAGTAATTGACAGCACCCCAGGTGACTATAGTCAAAATAATTTAATTGCGCATTAAAAAATAACTAAAAGGGGATAATTTGATTATAACACAAAGGATAAATGCTTGAGGGTATAAATATTCTATTTTTTCATGATGTGATTATTATACATTGAATGTCTGTATCAATATATCCCATGTATCTCATAAGTGCATTCATTATTTGTGATAACACCAAAATTAAAAGTTAAAAAGCATCTCATACTTTTCTCTGTTGTTATACATATTCTCCAACTAAAAATGATGGTGGGATTATGGATCAAAAGATTACAAGGCAAAAGATTACAGGGACCATGTCTTTAAAATTAAAACTTTCAAAATATGTGTAAATACTTGCTAATGTGAGTATATGTCAACACTATTTACTTCTTTCACTGGATGTTAGGGAAAAAAGGAACGGGGTGGATCCTTCTGGGTAAAGGAAAATAGTTTCACTAAATTCTTGTCTTTATTTCAGAAAATGCCTGCCCTTCAAGGCAGATAAGAGAGTATTTTTTTAATATATTTTAAGTCTAATTTTCCCCTTTTAAGTCAAATTCTTCTTTTCTCTTTGGGTGACATTACTGATTATTATTATCTCCAATGGAAGATAGCTACATATATGAATGGAGGGAAAGAGAAGTCGTTTGGAAATGAAAGACTAACAGAAAAAGAACTCATATTATTTGAACCCAATTCATTTTTACTTTGATTCCTAGTTACGAATTCTAATTCTATCCAACCTTAGTTTTAAGAGTCTTGGCAAAGAATTGTAACACAGGCAATTTTGGCTTCCTGTATGCCATTCAACCTGCTGTCCATTCTGCAAGCCATCTTTCTTAATTATAAATCTGACTATAAATAACGCCCCTGTTTAATAATATTCTAAAATAATTTACACTGTCCCCAGGACAAATAATTACTCCTATATATTTCATCAGTACATCTAATCTTTTCAAACCATACTTCAACTTTTACATTGCAACCATACAATTTTTTTAATTCCCAAATTTGTCTTATCGTTTTGCACTCTCAATTTTGGTGCGTGATTTTTCCTCCCCCTTATAAAATTCTCTTTTTGATATAACAAATTTATCATAATAAAAGCATGCACACTTACATGCAAACATAAGTCTCTGTGTTCTGTTTTCCTGTCAATTTTTAACACCGTTAATAACTCAAATTAAACTCCTATTTTTCATTGTACCACCACTAGTCTCTAAATTGCTGGGAGTTCTCACTCCACTGTTGCCTGCACAACCCTGGAAGTATAAATTTGGAAGGTGAGGGGACAGAGGCTGACTTAAGGCTGCCAGTGATACTCCCTTCACTATTTCAAAAAGTCGCATAAGTGATCTCTTTTCTTCTCTCTCCAATTCTGTTCATGTGTCAATTGGGGTATTGTTTATCTATCACACTCACTTGGGTTTTTTTGTTTGTTAAATATACAAAAGACTGATACTTAAATCATTTTTTAATAATAAATATAGGTTTGCCACTAAAATTAAACAATAGAAAAGTTTGTAAAGTGGAAAAGGATTATCCACACTCTTTAATTTGACACAAGGTAACCCCAATTATATGTTTAGCTTGCATCTTTCTGAATTTTTTCTATGCTTTTGTAAAACACTTAATATATTACCGATTTTATTGATTTCCTTAATCATTGGCTTCCTAGTATCCTTGACCTTTGCTTCAACCCTGTAACAGTCTTATGACTTGGTTTTGGCCAACATAATGCAGTAGAAGGATCTCGTGCAATTCCCAGCTCAGGCTTTATGAAGCCTGGTGCTCTTCTTCCTCGTGGACACCTGAACCTAAATGAGGACGAGCCTGAGCCACATTGCTGGCTAATAAGACACATCATGTGGAAAAGAGCCCAGCTGCCCCAGCCAGCCAAGGTCATTCTAGACCAGCCATGTGCTTTCCAAACATATGAGAGATCCCAGCCTTTCAGTAAAGATGCCTACCCCATGCAGAGGTGATCTCAGACACATGGATAATCTCAGCAGAGTCAAGACCTACCTAGCTAACTGGTAACCTTGTGAACAATAGCAAATGCTTATTGTGTTAAACTACTGAGGTTTTGGGTGTTTTGATACCCATAAATAAATAACTGGCAGACACATATTTACCTATACCTTTTTTCCTTATAGCACCAGTATCATATATTATCAACAATTTGCTCCATTTGTTTAATCTTTGCTTCACAACATAGGACAAACCCTTTAAAAATTCAACACATTAAAATTCAATACTACCTGATTTTTAGAAATCTATAAATTATTAAAAGTGTCAATTCAATATAATTTTAAATATTTTGTCAAAGTAATACATTCATGAGACAGTCCATAGTACAGAAAAGAATACAATAAAAATCATATTTCCCAGTACAACTCTCCCCACCTTTAGTCCCACATACTAGAGGTAATTTCCTTCAATTATTTTTGTTTTGTTTTGTTTGGCAGTAACATTTGGAATTCTCAATAATGACTATTATACCTCTGTGTTTCCCGAAATATAGAACATAAACAATGCCATTGACTACCTGATATGAAAAATGAGATGCAGCTCACTTACATAGCCACATATCTGGTCTATTCTACCTAATATTTGATGATGTCATGATGTTCATACTTTTTATTGATTAATTGTGGAACAATAAATAATATATTTAATCCTAATTTCTTCTTTCATCAATGTTGCTCAGTAGTTAAATTTTCTCTATGTAAGTTGATTAATGTTGCCCTCATACCTTCTCACTTTCAATTATATCATTATATTTTTGCAATTTTTATCGTAGTAAAATGCCATAACAAAATTACAAGCTTAACAATTTTAAGTGTACAGCCAAATAGTATTAAAATACATTCATAATTTTGCACAACAATCACCCATCTACCTCCAGAATTCTTTCTATCTTGTAAATCTGAAACTTTATAACCATTAAATGACACTTCATTTTCTCCTGCCCTAGCACCTGGCAATCACCATTCTACTTTCTGTCTCTGTGAATCTGATAATCTAGGTACCTCATATAAGTGTGATCATATTGTATTTTTGTGTGTGTGAATGGCTTATTTTACCTGGCATAATGTCCTCAAAGTTCCTCTATATTTTAGCATATGTCAGAACTTCCCTCCTTTCTATGCTAAATTATATTTTATTATATCTATATACAATATTTTACTTATCCATTTTTCAGTCCATGGATACTTTCGTTGCTTCCACATTTTAGATATCATGAACAACGTTGCCATGAATATGGGTGTATAAGTGTATCTTTGAGACCCTGCTTTCAATTATTTTAGGGATGTACCCAAAGGTGGAGTTTCTGGATCCTATGATAATTCTAGCTTTAATTTTGTGAGGAACTTCCATACTGTTTTCCACAGTGGTGCCATTTGACATTGTCACCAACAGAGCACAGGGTTCCGATTATTCTACATCCCTGCAAACACCTGTTATTTTGTGTTTGTTTGTATGTTTTGATGGGAGTCATTCTAATGGGTATGAGGTGGTATCTTATACTTTTAACACCATCTTCTTTCATTCTATTGTTGGCGGTAAGTCACAGCCAGTCGTCTTCATCAGCCAAGTATAGATGTTACATGAGCCATAAAACTCGAAAATCTAGTTAGTTTCTTCCACTTCATTTTCACTCGTCCACCATTTTCATTGAAATTATATTGTCTATTAGAGAATCTAAAAAGATACAGTTCATACAATCTAAAAAGATACAGTCTTTACTTTTATTGAAATACCAAATATTGACTATGCAAGCTATACTGGTAAATGTGCTCTTTGATGTTGACAGAGGAGGGCTGGGCTGCCTGTGGTTTCCTGCAGAAGAGAGAAAGGACAGAAGGTCAAGATGGTTACCCCTCACTGCCTTCATCCCATCCTTCATTATGATTCTTCTTCCATCTTCTGCCATATGCTTTTGCCATTTCCCTCGACTTCCATCTGTGACCTCTGTGTCTATTTAGTGAAAAGTACTCAGGAATATCTTTGTAAAACCTAAGTTAAATTATGTCACTTCTCTTTTCCAAAGCACTGGAAGGGTTTCCTATCTACTCAGATAATATTTTTTTAAAGATTTACCATGTGATGTTCAAGCACATTGTGATGAGGCTCCTCACTGTTTCTCCTAATTTGTCTCTGTCAGTTCCCTCACTTGCATTCTCTTTTGGTCACACTATCTCATTGTAGTTCTTTTTAAACCTGTTCAGCATATTTCTGCCCCAGGGCATTTGCACTTGTATTCTGTGCTGGAACACCTCTCCTGCATAAGAACCACATGATTCACTCTCCAACTCTGTGCATTCTTTATTCCAATTTCATTATTTCAAGGCAGGTTTTCCTGAATAAAGTACCTATAGTTGAGCATGTATTTTCTACAGTCCCATAACTGTGGCTGAATGTCAGTAATGAGACAGCCAAGTAAAAAGGGCTCCCTGGCAGAACCTCCCACCAGACTGTGCACTGGGAAGAATGCACACTGGGGTGGAGCCTTGGGAAGTTCATGCCATTTGCAGCAGGGAGAAGCCTGGCCCCTCCTCTTCCTGGGTGGTACCTGGTATTCAATCTGCGAGGCAGGAAGGGCATTAGCAGGACTCTGGCTCTGTGAAGGGTCTGTTTCCCATTTTTTTCCTTTTCACACAATAAACCCTGCCCTCCTCACCTTTCAGATTGTCTGTGAGTCTAATTTCTCATGGTCGTGTGACAAGGACCCCATCTTTAGCTGAACTAAGGAGAAAGTCAACAACAGTAATGTGATATGTGCACTCAGAGGACCAAAGCCCTGCTTTCCCCATAGATAGCTCCTGTGTTTACTCTGTTTTGTTCAAGGTCTGATGCACTGTTTGGTAACTAAGTGTGGCAGGTGGGAGAGAAACAGAGAGAGAGACAAAGAGAGGGAGTGTATGAGAGATAAATGAACATAATTAATAATGGTAATATTTGTACATTATTATTTTAATAATTACTAACCTAGGACTTTCATTGTGTATTACATTTTGCTGCAATTTTCCTTACCCTTTGATTGATTATATAGTTGAGGGAAACTAAATGCATATAAGTAGAATAAAAAAGAGCAAATAAATACTCACCAGACTACATCAATAAAGAACACTAACTTGACCATATAAGCAGTCAGCTGTCATTGGTCATTGAACTTCACCACCGATATAGCTCTTTCATTTATTTCACCCTCCAACAACTCTCAATACTTACATTTTCAATTGCCAGGAAAGAGGTAGAAATCTCTTGTCAAGGTTGCTCGTTCTATGGTGGGCATCTGGGCTTTAGCCTGTGGAACTTCAAATGATTTCTGTACCTAAAAGAAAAAACAGTAGATGAGATATGAGGGATTTTGGGTTCTCAGAATGCATCTTACACCATGAACCAGGAAATGCCTGAATGAAGAGAGCTTCCAGGGTTGATAGGACCAAGCCCATGGATATTCCAACTCCTTAACACTGCTACTCTACCTCTTAGAATTGACACCCCATGTCATACTGTACACTTTACATCAAAATAAACACTGCATGCCTAGTCAAGGCTTTTCAACCTCCATTTTCTCTATTTTCCATTTTTGACCTACGGATGTGGAAATCAATTAAATATCCTTTGGGATATGCTCATGAGAACTGGATATGGAAGATTTAGTACTTTCAACCCCCACCAACGCTGATTCTTCAATTTAAGGAGAATTAAATCCCAGAATCTTGCTTTAAGGCCTGAACACTGAACAACTTTCATGCCCACACCACCATGCTGACCTCTGAAATCTTATGCATGGACTGATCAATGAGATCCTGCTTACCGTAAATCCAATATTTCTAGTTCTTTTCCCAGGAATACCCTCAAAAGTACAATGTCTAATTCCTAATCATCCAAAAGGATTTAACTTCCCAGTTCTCTATTCACAGAAACCCCATCTCAATTTATGGTACAATCTTCTTTAAACACCAGTGGTATATCTTCCTTTTCCCACAAGAGTTTTACTGTTCTCTATAATTTTTAATTTAGAAACAACCACACTTTCCTGTGTTAATACCAATCCTATTTTCCCTTAAAAAGAGAAGGAACATTTATCTATTCATTCATGCATCTATTTATTCAATATATATTAATTGAATGTCTGCTATATGTCAGGCATATTGAGGTGCTGAGCAAATCCCCGCCATCCTGAAGTTTGCATATTAGTGAGTAAATACAGGTAAAAAACAGACACATAAATAAACTATTAATATATGCTTAATGGGAGGAGGTAAGAACTGTGGAGAAAATAAAGTAGGAAGGATGGGGAATAAGGAATGTCCCAAGTTGGGCAAGGAGTAGCAAACCTTCCCTTCTGCCCTTTCCCATGGAAAGAGTGATTTCTTTTTTATTCCCTGTTACATGCCTTTATGAATTCTACCACAATCTGTAATTGCACATTTTTTTGTTAACCCATATTTTCAGTATCCATATCTCTCACAAAAGTGTGAGTCCTAGATAGTCTTAAGCCATGCAAGCCTCATTTACCCCTTTGTCATCAGGATGAAGCCCCTCACCTCCATCCAGTTTTTATTCATTTAGTAAATTAACAAAAATTATTTCAAAATATTTTCTATTCTCTGAATTTTAATAAGTTATAACCCAAAATAGGAAGCTTATAGCTGATATTATTTTGTTTTACTTTGCTCTTCTTCTGGGATATATTGACATTTTCTTTCTCTAAAGCAGATTTTAAACACCTGAATGACAGAAATCAGGTGCCATACTACTTTTGCTTGCCTGAAAAACTGTGTCATTTTTATTCGATTAGTGAATAATGATAAATTCTTTCTGAGCAAATAAGTAAATGACTAGAAAAGGAAATGGAAGCTTACCTTCCGAAATATTTCCATTAGGTGGCAGCAGCAAGAATATTTCTGGAAGCATGTGATGAGTTCCGTAATGAAGATGGAGCCCCTTGTGCGGTCTCTCCAGGACACGTTATCTATGATGATACAGCCTGGTATGCCTTGGGCTACGACTTTCACTATGTTTTTGTTTATATTTTTGTTTTTGCATAGCTTGAGAATTTACTTGATAGATTTATGGAAATCCCTTATAACCAAACATTTACTTAGGTTTCACACAGAGGAAACAGAAAAGCTGGCAAAGGTTGAACAAAAAAGACAGCTTGTAAGTATTGCAAGAGATTGCATAGTGATTGTATTTTGATTCTTGGAACTAACTTTTTATTATGGACCTCATGTTCATTCACTTTGCTTAGAAAAGGGGACTTGAGAAATAACTGGAATTCTTTCACTTTACAAAGGAAAGAATAGAAGCTCAGAAGGATGAATAAACTTTTAGGTTCAGTGAGGAAGCAACAAAAAACTACCGTCGGGCTCCAAGATTGTTTACAGATTGCACCATGATGTCTTTCACCATAAAATAAACAAAATAGATGAACACATCCAAAGTTTCAGTTATAGAAGATTAAAATATAGAAAAATACTGTATAATATGGTGCCAATAGTAAATAATACTGTCTTATATACTTAAAAATTTGCAGAGAGTAGATCTTATGTAAATTATCCTTATCACACCCTTGCAGAATGATGATAATAATAAATAGAGAGCTGGAGGAATCTTTTGGAGGAGAGATGTTTACAGCATAGATTTGGGTGATGATTTTAGGGGTGTGTACTAATCTCCAAACTTATTGAGTTGCATACATTAAATATGTACAGTTTTCATATGTCAGCTATGCCTCCATAAAGTGGTTTAAAAATAAGACTTGAAAATTTACAACTTGGAAAGAGTAAAATAGAAAGCCCTTTAGGATGATTACCTAGAGGTGAAATACAAACGACTGTTTCCTGTAATTAGACCTAATTAGCTCCACCCTAACATTTCTTACCTTTTTTAAAGCTCATTCACATTTTTATCTGGACACTTAATAACATTGCTCTTTGTAGGATCAAGTGGGATATATGTAGAAGAGGGCTTGAAGTTGATCGTTTGGAAAGACAGCCAGTACTGGGATCCATAAAACTTCTATTCAAAATGTTAAATGGATTTATTAAAAAAACAGCATCCATCATCTATGTTTACATGGTGTGTGGCGAATGGGGTTCCTTGTATTGTATTGCTTTAATATTTGGTATGCCTTTGACTGTAAAGTGTAACACTTATAATAAAAGTACAGTTTTTTAAAATGTGTGTGTGGGAGGGGGAAGGAATCTATTCTCACAGCACACATAAGATCATGCAAAATATATAGAGAGCACACACCATTCTCTCAGCTCATTGTTGCATAGGGCCTATCTTGATTTCATAGAATCATTCAAAGGTGGCCTCAGCACCCCCAAATTTTTGACTGTTACTAAAAGACACATACGTGGTGTTGAAGAACAGAAAGCAATGAAGTCCTTCTCCTCGTGGATCTTGCAAACAGAATCTGCCTCCAGGTTCTCAGATGACTGTGAAGAGATGAGTGCCAAGGATGCTGGAGAGTCTCTGACCCAGAGTTCCCCATGTTTTTCTGTAGAGACATCAACTTTCTTTTTTTTTTATGTTACTTTAAGTTCCAGAATAGAAATGCAGAACGTGTAGGTTTGTTACATAGTTACGCATGTACCATTGTGGTTTGCTGCACCTATCATATAGGTTTTAAGCCCACATGCATTAAGTATTTGTCTTAAGGCTCTCCTTCCCCTTGTCGCCCACCCCCCGACTGGCCCCGGTGTGTGATATTCCCCTCCCTGTGTCCATGTATTCTCATTGTTCAACCCTCACTTATAAGTGAGAACAAGTGGTGTTTGGTTTTCTATTCCTGTGTTAATTTGCTGAGGATGATAGCTTCCAGCTTCATTCATGTCCCTGCAAAGGACATGATCTCATTCCTTTTAGGGCTACACAGTATTCCATGGGATATGTGTACCACATTTTCTTTGTCCAGTCTATCTATCATTGATGGACATTTGGGTTGGATCAAGAGACATCAACTTTTTATACACTGATGTGCCTCACTTAGCATGGCTATCACAATTGCCCACCTTGTTATTTTTCAGTGTTCTTTCTAACTAATTTCATACATACATACAGACCCACACACATGCAAACACACACACACATTTTGCTTTGTCTCTAGTGTCATTCAACAATGTGTAAATTAATAGTGAATTTATCATGTCATTACCAGTTTTCAGTTAAATTATTGCTGCTTTCTTAAAGAAACAAAACAAAATATACATCCCAATAGTCATGAGGTAATTGGAAGTCAGGAATAAAAAGAGGGAGAGAGAAGATTGACTTAAATCCCCTCAAGTTTCCTTAACTCCCAACTCATTTTCCCTTCAATAATTGTGAATAAATAGGGTGCTTGTATCACATAATAACTTCAGTTTCAAGTGCAAATTCTTCAGAAACCACATAATGTCAACATGTCTGTAAATCATTTACAAATCAAGCTATCATGTAAATGATTCCATTTCAAAGTTTGAATATTTCTGTTTAACTTTGATTTAGGGATTCTGATGATCTCCTTCACCACTTCCTTCACCACTATCACCGTGGATAAAATTGTACAGAAATTTCTCCACTGATGAGACAATTTCTCATTATATCAGCCCCTTAGGTAGAGTTTCTTCATAATTCAATGTACTTTATTTGCACTGGATGGGGTCTAACATTGTTTCCCCTAAATATAAACCAAACATCACAATCCTCTGCATACACCTTCAAAACTGTTAGATGTTCAGCCTCAGCACTCACCACCTCTGCAGGCCTGGACAATGATGACCTTGGGTTTGTCCTTTAGACTGAGGCAGTTGCGGTTGTTGAATATCTGGAAGATGGTGTCATAAAGCAGCACATCCGGTTTTTTCTTTTTATGCGCAGTTCCGCAGATTCCCTCTAGGATGCCATGAGACATGAGTACCAAGAACGTGCTGTCAGAGGACTTGTGCTCTGGTCTGGCAGCAAATGCCCTCAGCACTGACTCCATATCCTATAAAAGAGCAATGTCTAACTTCAGTCAGAGAAGCATCACAATTAATAGGACCTCCTAGATTTACCATGAGCGAAACAAGAAACATATGTAACATCCGGGTCGTGGTGCTTCACATAGCGCTTACTCAGTCATGACAGCAGTTTTATGTTTTTTTGTTTTGTTTTTTTTTTCCTTTGTAATGGGGCTGTGGGTTCCTACTTTTTCTCCCTGCTGACACACCATACACTGTCTTCTTAATATATTGTATATTTTTATATGTTACTTATATTACTTTTTTTTATCTCAATCTTTTCTCTCCTTTCCTAACAAGAGTCATGTGTTATAAACGCATCACACCACTGTCCTTGTAAAACCCAACATACGTTGCTTAGAATAAAATCAATCTTCTGGCCTGACCATACTCATCCTTATACTATGTCTGTTCTGCTTCAATCTCTAGTCACACTGATCTGTTGTGCCTCACATGTGCCAGTTTCATTTTCAGCTCAGCTCTTTCACAGGTAGCGCCCCCTACTGGGAAGGCGCTGCATTCTCATCTTCCCAGAGCCATTCCATTCCTTCCGGTAGTGCCGTCCAACTCCTGTGTTCTCTCCCCACAGAGGCTTTTCTGGACCAACCCAAAAACATCGCACCCCATCCAACATTCTCTCTCATGTTTCCTTTTTGCTTACTTTGGATTCTCTTGTTATTCTTATATAGACACATACACACACTCATTATCTGAAATTGTCCGGTTTCGTTTATATTGTGAGATTTTACCTCCACTCTAACCTAGATCCTTGCAATTTGAAACTTCTGGTATCATTTACAGACTTATCCACAGTATCAGGAAAAGCTCTTGGCCCCAAAGTTTGGATTTAATATTTGTTTTAAGAGTGCATTCCTGGGCCGGGTGCGGTGGCTCACGCCTGTAATTCCAGCACTTTGGGAGGCCAAGGCGGGCAGATCACGAGGTCAGGAGATCGAGACCATCCTGGCTAACAAGGTGAAACCTCATCTCTGTTAAAAATAGAGAAAATTAGCCGGGCGTGGTGGCACGCTCCTGTAGCCCCAGCTACTCGGTAGGGCAGGAGAATCGCTTGTGGAAGGTGAATGTTGCAGTGAGCCAAGATCACGCCACTACACTCCAGCCTGGGCGACAGAGTGAGACTTGGTCTCAAAAAATAAATAAAAATAAAAATAGAGTGCCCTCCTGCCTAAAACACATTACTCTGTGATTTTATGTGGAATCTTGGGGCTACATCCCAATCACCTGATCTTATTGGAACTCAGTAACAATTGCGAAAATACATGCCAATCATATTTTGTCTAGTTTTATGGAGTTGAGGGTATTTGAGGCTCAAAAGAGACACTGATTTATGTGTTCAATAATTTCATTTGCTAGTGCATGTGCGCATGTACACACACACACACACACGCACACGAACCCAGAGGTTGTTAAACCTTGTTGAACTTCTATAAAGCTAACTAATTATTAGAAGAATCTGTGTTGCCTATGGATGAGTGTGAGATGGCTTAGGGGTTCTTACCCTGGCTGTGAGATTCTTTTCGTCAACCACAGTGTAGCCCAGGCCTTGAAGCAGCCTTTTCATCCCCACGATGTCATAGTGAGCCCCATTCCTTGCAGGCAGGTGATCAAACTTTGTATTGCATATGATGAGAGCCAGGCGTCTGCGGTCCTCTCTCTTTTTTATTGGATAGATCTGCAGGAGATGGAGATGAAGCAACTTTGATTACCCGAGTCTCTTTTCAACCCCCATATGCCTCACAATTTTGCTTTTTTAAGACCTCATGCAGCTGCCACCTTCCCTAACCTCTATCAGAAGACACTGCCTTCCTCTCTCTCAAGAGCCCAGAGCAAGAACCAGGACATATCTGGAATGATCACTCTAGAATCTTGAGGAAACTAGAATAATTCCTACCCCCTTCCTTCTCCTTTTTCTTCTCCACCTACTCAAACATTTCTTATATTTAGGTTCAAATCAAATTTCATATAAACCAAGAGGTGTTGTCATCGGCTCCAGTAAAAATAAATATAGCAAATTTTCTTTGCCTTCCGTATTATGATTATTTTGGTACTATTTTAAAAACATAAACTTACAATGATTTTCAAGATTTAATTATACTTTTCAAATATATTTTATGTCTAGGCTTTTCAACTGGGTATAAACAATTACTACTCAGCCATGTTATAAACATTTTATTTTGTGGCTTTATCTGAAATTGTAATAAATCCCAAATTGATACAAAAATCAATAAATGATAAAAAAGAGAAAGCTACATTTTATCATGGATTGAATGAGCACTGGTATTTGTTTGAAGCCATATGAACCCTTGCCTGCTGAAAGCATCTATCATAAAGGTTACCACTGTCACCACCCCCTCATCATTTAGTGCTTTAAGTATTTGTGCATTTATGGCTGGCACTGTGGTTCCCGCCTGTAATCCCAGTGCTTTGGGAGGCCAAGGCTGTGGATCTCATGAAGATAGGATTTGGAGAACAGACTGGACAACATAGGGAGACTATATCTCTACAAAAATTAAAAAAAAAATCAGCCTGGCAAGGTAGTGTGCATTTGTAGTGCTAACTACTTGGGAGGCTGAGGCTGGAGAATCTCTTGAGCCCATGTGTTCAAGATAGCAGTCAGCTATGATCACACCACAGCACTCCAGGCTGGGCAACAGAGCAAGACCCCATTTTTAAAAATGTGCATTGCATTTAATGAAAGCAATTGTTTCTCTCTTCTTCCCCATTTCATACAGAGAGCACAGCACCTCATCATGATTTTTTTTACACAGTCTCAGGAATTCTTCACGAGGACAAAGTTTGAGTATATTTGTAGATTCTGCTGACTCAGGTGGTCCAGCCTCGATTTGCAGAAGAGCTGTGGGATATCACAAAATATAAATTATGGTTTCTGCCTCTGTGACCCAATTTATCACCTAAGAACTTTGAGAGAGAGAGAGAGAGAAATCCTAGGAAAAAGACTCTTTATATTTAGGGGTTATAGCTGTACCTAATTTCCAGCTTAAGGAAATGTGTTGTGAGAATTCCCTGATAGAGAAAGCAGACTCCCACAACCCCACCAAGAAGAAGATGCAACTATAGATTCCGATTATTCTGGAGAAAAAATCTTGATGATTTAAAGTTAAATTTGGCTTTTCTATATTCAGAAAAACAGTTTGATTTTTCCAGTGGTTTTACGCTAGGGTACTCATTCATTTATTTGGACTTTCTGCTGTGTCTGGGCAAGAGTGTGCTAAGTAAATACTTGTCAGAGTGCTATTTGAAATACAATGTGAGTTCCATATGCAATATTAAATTTTCTAATATCACATTTACAAAAGGTAAAAATAATTGTAATAATATATTTATTTAACATAATATATTCAAAATATTATTATTTCAACATATGTCACTAGCCACAAGTTATGTCTGGTGGCTACAAAAGTGGATGGGACAACATCCCATTTTGGATTGATAGTCCCCTCCTAGTTCACACCACATACAGATACATGTATACAACAAACGTTTGATAGAATATTGAATCCTGTACCATCCTGGTATTTTTTAAGCAACTTTTATGTGAATTAATAATTATTCTAGAAGAAATAAGCTTCAGTTATCTTTCAACAAATTGTGAAATCACCTATTTATGAAGAAAGGTTGTCTAGTGACAACACAGTACACAATAGTACTGTGTCCAAGGTCAAAGGGACAAATATTTGTATGAGATTCTGACGTAACTCTGAACATCTTGTCTCTAAACTGCTGGACAGCCAACACTGTCCAACTCATATTTTATAATGTGAGGAAATAATACATCTGTTTTGGATAAGTTTGCTTCTGAGTAATTCTGATCTATCCCCTTGTGAAATGTAATATTGATCTCTTTTGACCGATATTGTGCAAAAAACTGGGAGATTATTGAGCCCTCCTTCTGGAAAAGAAAAAGGAATTTATGTATACAAATTCAAAGAAGAATTTAGTAAGATCTAATAACAAGATTTCTTTTCATGAAAGAAATGGACAAGTATACTTTTATGTTTGGTTACGTGACCCAACCAAGACATAGGAATCATGAGTAAAGTAATATTGTTCTGTATAAAATTTATATTGTTTTTAAATATTTCATGTATTTTTTATATATCAATCATTTGTTTCTCTTCATTTTTAATAATATTTTAAAGTAAATGTCTTGCTAAAGAGTATGATAAAAGCGTGAGTTCTGGGAATGCAATAAGTTCTAAGTGTGTAAGGAAACCATACCTTCTAAGCATCTCTTTTTTCATAGATTAAACAGTGACAGATGCTTTTTCTTCTCATTTCAGAAAAGTCTGCCAATGTGAAGACATCTAGGGTCCTGGGATATTACTGGTCTGAGGGTATGTTTTCCTGTTTAAAGGTTTGGAGAACTTCCAACTTAACAGTCATCTCCTAAGACTTTTATGTGTCTGTGTGTAGAACAGGTGTTTTCCAGTAAAATTAGAAATTAGACAGAAATTCTATCTTATATCCAGTAGTAGAATTAGTACAAAAATATTATTTTATTACAAAATAATAAATATTATAGTGCAGTCTCCTTCCAAAGAGAGTTTCTATTAGCCTGGCAGTGCAACAGGAAGTAATGTGGAAATCAGGAGTTTAGATAAAAATTTCAATTTGAGTCTTATCTATTATCTAATGAAACAGGAATCTCTCAGGAATCTGCTCAGGAATCTCTTAACATTGACACAACAAGAAAGGGAGTAGTGGAGTGGTACAGGATCAGTAAAGCAATTTCCCACAGCACATAGGGACTTAGGTGGTTATCTCCTGACTAAATCAGATCATCGGTATATAGTGTGTATATATATATGTGTGTGTGTGTGTGTGTGTGTGTGTGTGTGTGTGTGTGTAAACAGTTAAATAACAAATGAATAGCTAGGATTCTTCTTATCCTGCACTCCAGAATCCAATGCTTTGTTGGAAACCCTCATAATTATAACCATATCCAAAGGCCTAGCCAAGGCCTGTACCTCTTCTAATAGCCCAGCCCACCCAGCTTCCTGGTCTGCTGTGCCAGTGTACTCAAAGTATTCTGGGATCGATCATTCTGGAGAATACAAATGCAGATAGAGTGCAGAGAGCCACTGGACCCCTCCTGCAGGGATCTGCAGCTGCCTCCTTCTTGCCACAGCCTCTGCTGATCAGATAGGCTAATTCAGTTTAGAGTTTAGTGCTCATCATATATGATATCTGGGATTGCTAAAATCATTTTGAAGCCCGTATTGCTACAAATATGATTCCTATTTGTTGCATTATCTCTGATTTTTAAAAACCGATATTTTTTCCTCATGCCATTCCAGGTTTGAGGAAAAGGAAAATACTTGCAAAAGACCAGTTTAAATATTAATAAGAATGCATCCTTGCCTAAAATCTTGGACAACTATACTAGCATGTGGTTTCTGTTGAGGGGAAACTTTCCCCACAGAGAAGGGGAGTTTATTTTGTATAGTGAGGTTTGAACAATTTATGTTGCTTTATGTTCATGATCGTATGTGATTATTGGTAAGCTGTAGTAGTTCAGGGCTGAAGATTTCAGTTTAAAGTCTATGGCAAATTGAGTCCTTCCCTGGAAAACATGGATCTGAGAACATTTAGGCTCTAATAATACTGATAATTCAATCCGTGTCAAAAGTTTTGAAATGTTATAAAATTTAAACATTTTATAGTAGTTCCCTGATCATAATTTTGTAACTCACAGAAATGAGTAAGCATTGGAAAATTCCAATTTGTAGCGCCCAAATAATAATTAAGAAAGCACTCTTTATTGCATGCGTATACTTCATTTGTTTATTCATCACACATTAATTAGGTATCTGCTATGTGCCAGGATCTCCATTAATTACTCTTATTAATTGGTGAAGAAACCAGTTACATTCTGGTAGCAGAAACTTGGTGCATGTTACTTCTTTTTACTGAAGCGGAAAAGGGTTAAAAGTGGAGCACGTTTATTCTGGAAAACAAAGCATTTAATTTTAGCTGTATTCATTTTGTGATGCCAGTGAAACACTGGAGCAGAATTGTTTTATATGCCGCTAGAGCTAAATGAGTCTGGAGCTCAGATGAGAGAGTCCTGAATGAGAGCTGGTATCTTGGAAGTTGTTGGCATGTGGTGCCTGGCATTACAATGTTTCTGGCTGTAGACAGTCTTGTGAGAAAGTGCTGGAATTGCCCACATTTCACAGGTGGTAAGACTGATGACTAGGGAGAATGGAAGGTCAAGAAACTTGCATGAAGCTGCATAGTTCACATGTGACAGAATCTAAGTTTGGGTTTAGGTATCTCCTACTAAAAAATCTCCCTTATTAACTATTTCTGTGCACAGTCTAAACACAAGGACACAGCTTTTTGGCTAATTGGAAATTTGATCCCGTCCCATAAAAGACAAGGTGGTCTCTAACAGGATGATGACATGTTTACTGAAAATGAGAGTTTAGAAATGAAACTGTAGGTAGATCACAGATAACACTGCATGGGCCTTGGAGTTGAATATATTCTGGAAAATTTAACATATTTATCGTGTTAGATGCAACCTTACGTTTTACACTGGTGATCTTTTGGTCCATATTGAGAAGTGTTTGGGTAAACATTTGATGAGCCACGCGATTCTTTCGCAAAGAGTCTACCAAGATCAGGGCCTTGTCTTCAATTTTGGTATCATAATATTTTTTCTTTTCCTCTTCCTTCAATGTCAGAACATCGTGTTTTGCCAAATAATTAAAAACACCATGAAGAACATCTTTGCCCAGGTATTCCAACATCTTAACTGTTTTTTTTTTGTGGTTGTCTTCTGTCAGAAATAGAAAGACTCCTTTAACTATGGGCACAGCTTAAAGAGTTCTGCCTTCACCTAAGACATAACTCTGTAATATGAAACTCCTCTAAAAATACATTCTATTTTACCATGTCTCCAGCGAATAACACACATCTTTTTTTGCAACTGCAGAATTCTCTCACCTATCAAATTCATACCAGACTGTGCTTAGCAATTCATTTCCTCTTAAATTTGTTTTTATAGCTTTTCTTCTTCCTTCTGTGGCATTGGGAATAATGCTAATTTCCTGGTCACCTGCTGCTTTCATATTTCTCTTTCTCTTGCTCACAGCTCATGATGATGATAATTTACCTGAAATGGACACTCCCAGGACAGTCCATGCTCTTGTCTAGACTGTAAATACTACTAGACTATACAATCTTGCCTCTTTGCTGTATTTAGTTTCCTTGGGGAAAGCACTATATCTTTGAATTTGCATTTTTAGCACACATCCTATACCCACATCTTTGTGCTCATTAACATCTTTGTGCCCAAAATGCTTAAAAGTACTTAGCATGCTTGCTAAATACATGACTTAATGAACAAATGGATGACTGCACCCAGAGTCCTAATTTTTTAGCATCTTTTCCTCAATCAAAATTTGAAATTGAAAATAATATCATAACTACTCTAGCATGGTGAATTTATGTGACATCAGGTTAATCACTACACCTTAGCATAATTTGAATTTTTATTGGAAAATATAGATATCAAAGTGATAAATTTTTTTGCCTGGCCCTCTTCTAATTACTGCCAGTCATTGGTAAAGCAACCAGTTGCATTCTGGTGGGAGAAATTTGATATATATTAGTTTCTTTTACTAAAATGGAAAGGGGTTAAAGTTGGAACAAATTTGTTTAGAAGAAAAAGTGTTTAATTTTTAGGTAATCATTAGTTTAATGAAGCCAATGAAACACTGGAGCAGAATTGTTGAAAATACATCTAGAGCTAAATGAGTCTGGAGCTCAGAGGAGAGAGTTCTGGATGACAGCTAATATCTTGGGAGTTATTGGCATGTTGATGCCAGCCAACACAATGTTTCTAACCTTCCACAGTCTTGTGAGAAAGTACTGAAATTGTCCCCATTTCATAGATGGTAAGACTGATGATTAGGGAGCAAGAGAGGTTAAGATACATGCAGGAAGCCACACAGATTATTAGTAACAGAATCTAGATTTAGGTTTGAATATGTCTTACTACAAGCCTCTACTATTAATTATTTCCATGCACAATCTGAACCCAAGGACTCAGCCTTTTAGCCGATTGGAAACTGGATCCCACCCCACAAAAGACAAGGTAGTCCCTGAAGGAAAAATTATAGGTTTGGTGAAAATGATAGTTTCATAAAGGAAGGAGGATAGGGGGATCACAGAAGTCACTGCATGGGACTTATAATTGAACAGATTCTAAAAAATTGGAAATATCCATTGTAAAATATCCAGTCTTACTTTTTACACTGGTCGACTTTTGATCCGTATTAGGTACTAGGGTCTGGATAGATGTTTGTCCAGCCACGTTGTTCTTTAGCATGTGGTTTATCACGAAGTTATCCAATCCACTCTGAAGGATACCTTTGAACATAGCTTCAAAATTCTTACGCCTTTTTTTTTTGCCACTGTCTTCTATCAGAAATATAAAGACTCCTTCAACTCTGGGCACAGCTTAAAGAGTTTTGCCCTTGCTTTAGACAAAGCTCTGTAATGTGAAACACCCTTGAAAATACATTCTGTCTTACCATGTCTTCAACAAATACTCATTATTTCTTTGTACCTGTAGCATTCTCTCACCCATCAAATTCCTACCAGGCTGTGTTTAACAATTCATTGCCACTTAAGTTTGTTTTTTATAGCTTGTCTTTTTCCTTTCTGCAGCATTGGGCCTAATGCTAAATTCCTGGTCATCCATTGTATTCAGATTTCTCTCTCTTGCTCAAACTCATGATGACCTACCTGAAGTGTGTGCACCCAGGACAGTCCATTCTCTTGTCTAGACTGTAAATTATTCCTACTAGACTGCAGGATCTTTCCTTTTCTCTGTATTTAGCTTCCTTGGTGAATTAACTATATCTTTGAATTTGTGTTTTTTAACACACAAGCTATACCCAATTGTGCTAATTAACAATTTTCTGCTCAAAATGCTTAAAAGTGCTTAATCTGCTTGCTGAATACATAAGTAAACATCCAACTTAATCATTAAGTGGATAAATGCATCTAGATACCTAATTCTTCAGCGCCTTTTCTCAAACCAAAATTTAGAATTGAAAATATTTAACAAATATTATGGTAGATTAATATAATACTGAGTTAATGTATTACTCCTTGGTATAATTCAGATTTTTACCAGGAGATATATATATACACACATATATATATATATATATATATATATATATATATATATACACACACACACGTATATATATATATATACACACGTATATATATATATACACACACATATATATATACACATATATATATACACATATATATACACATATATATACATATATATACACACATATATATACACATATATACATATATATACACATATATATATACACACATACACACACACACACACATATATATATCAAAGTAATAAATCACTTATTTCAATACAAGAGATATGATTTAAGCAGGTTGTATGTGGAAAAGCCAGATATCTCCTCTCTTCTGTTAACTCTATAAAGATCATTATCTAGTTTATCTAAATATAAGGATAGCTTTCACACAAAATACATTTTCTAAAGAAAACATGTCAGGACATTGAACAAAATTTTGGCCTAGAAGCACCAGACTCATTTTCCAGGTTATCTTGAGTTCATATGCCAATAATGAACCAACCATTATTAGAAAGACACATGGAAGTTACAAAACAGGACAAAAAGTTACATTTAATAAATGTAACATCTCCTATGTATTTTTTGTGATTAAAAAATGAATTCACATAAAGCAATGACAATCATCATTATATCATGAGTAATTATCATTATTATTAACAATATCAGTAATTATCATTATTATAATGATTTAATCAGTAATTATCATTATTATTATACTCATATAATAAATCAGTAATTATCATTATTATACTGATATAATAAATCAGTAATTATCATTATACTGATATAATAAATCAGTAATTATCATTATTATTATTATATCATATCAGTAATAATCATTATTATTTACAAGTCTCTCTTCTAAGTACTTTACAAATAGTAGTATACTGGACTCTCACAATAAACCAGTAGAATATTTATTATTTTATCAATTTTATAAGTCATTTAAATAATAGGCTGCCCTAAATCACATGAATTAGGGTTCAAATCCTATTTTTACACCACATTCCATAGAGTTAACCATGACAGGCTTTCAGTAATAATAATATATGTTGAACCCCCATGAGGTCAAGTGCTTTACTGAAATTTCACAAAAACTCCATGCAAAATGTATATTAACCTCTTTTATATGGAAAAGGAAACATATACAGATAAGTTACTTAAGAAATTGAGTGTAATCCTGTGAAAAGAAAATGAAGTATACAGTAACTCCGGAGCAGGAATAGAAGTACAAGTGATCAGAATCCAGAGCCCCAACTCTTAAGTCATGAAACTACATTACATGATAGTTGTTGAAGAGCTTCTTAAGAGAACACAGATAAGATGCTTAAGGAACTCAGAAAAGATGAGAAAATTCCAGGAGGAGAGTTTACAGAGGCTTCTTAGAAGACAAGACAAAAACGTTGGTTTTAAATGCAATGTAGATGTTGGAACAGGGAATGTGAAGATTTGCAAAGAGTACACAGATTAGTTAATGGAATGTCTACTCTGCCTGAGTTCTGAAGTTCTATTTAACTTACTTGCATGCTTAGTAAATGAATATAGTTTTGACTGAATGAATATGTGGAGACATGTGAAAAGCAATTAACCTAAAGAGGTTTACAACACAATAAATGCCACTTATAGAAAACACACAGTTAACATCATACTCAATGGTGAAAAGATAAAAGCTTTTCTTCAAAGATTAGGAAGAGGACAAACACACCCACTTTCACCGCTTCTATTCTAGAAATCCTAACCAGAGGAATTAGACAACAGAAAGAATTTAAAGGCATCAAAATAGGAGAGGAAGAAGTTAATGTGTCCTGTTTATGAATGACATGATCTTACATATATTAAGAAAACCCTAAATGCTCCATGAAAAATCTGTTGGAACTAATACACAAATGCAGTAAAGTTGAAGGATACAAAAACAACATGCAAAAATTAGTATCATTTTTATAACAACAAACTAAAAAATTGGATGATAAAAATCTCATTTATAATGGCTATAAAAAAATTTCATGAAATAATAAGGAATAAATGTAACCAAAAAGTTAAAGATGTATATACTCATAACTATAAAACATTGACAGAAGAAAATGCCTGAGATTCACAAAAATCAAAAGATATCCCGTGTTCATGAATTGGAAAATATTACATTATTATGTCTATACTACCCAAGAAATCTATGAATTCAATACAATTCCTATTAAGCCTCCAATGGCATTTTTTACAGAAATAGGAAAATCAACCTTAAAATTCATATGGAATTATTTAAAAATTCAAATAGCCAAAGCATCCTTGAGTAAAGAACAAAACTGGAGGCAGCACACAACCTGACTTTAAAACATACTGCAAAGTTATAATAATCAAACATAGTACTGGCATAAAAGCAAACACAGAGATCAATGGAATAAAACAAAAAGGCCAGAAATAAACCCAGTTATTTACAGTAAATTTATTTTTGACAAAGTTTCAAGAACAGACAATAGGCTAAGGACACTTTCTTCGATAAATGATGTTGGGAAAATTAAATATCCAAGAGCAGAAGAATGAAAACGGGCCCTTATCTGCCACCATATACAAAAATCAACTCAAAATGGATTAAAAACATAAGCCTAATAACTGAAACTTTGAAACTACTACACAAAAACGTGGAAAAGCTTAATGACACTGGTATAGACAATGATTTTTGGATATAACACTAAAAATATGGGAAAAGAAAGCAAAATTAAGATATGAGATTACATCAAACTAAAAAGCTTTTGCAAAGCCAAGGAAACAACAGTGTGAAGAGATAACCAACAGAATAGGAGTAAATATTTGAATCCATATGTCTGATAAGATATTAATATTCAAAATATATGAGAAACACAATTCAATAGGAAGAAAACAAATATTACAAAATGAGCCAAGGACCAAAATAGACATTTTTCAAAGGAAGATGCATAAATGGACAACAGGTCTATACAAAATGCTCAACATCTCTGATCACCAGGGACATTAAAACCACAATGAGATAATGCCTCACACCTGTTAGAATGATTAGAATGGGTATTATAAAAAAAAAAGATAACAAGTGTTGGAAAGGATGTAGAGAAAAAGGAACTCTTGTATACTGTTGGTGAAAATATAAATTAGTACAGTCATAATGAAAAACAATAGGAAACTCCTCAAAAAGTTAAAAATTAAAATGAATTAAAAATGTTAAAAATGATGTAGCAGCCCAAATATTTAGTATATATTTTAAACATTAAGTCAGTGTGTTGAAAAGACATATACACTTCCATTGTGATTGCAGCATTATTCACAATAGGCAAGATATAAAATCAACCTAAGTATCTGTAGATGGATGAATGGATGGAGAAAGTATCATAATGCAACAGTATTCAGCTTTAGAAAAAAGAAAGAAATCTTGTCATTTGTGACAACATTGATTAACATGGATAACATTACATTAAATAAAATAAGCCAAGCTGGGCACCAAAAAACAAATACTATATGATCTCACTGATGTGTAGACTCACAAAAGTTAAACACATAAAAGCAGAGGGTAGAATGGTGGTGATTAGGAGGAGGCAGGAAGTTTGGGGAGATGTTGATCAAAGGAAACAACATTTCAATTAGATCGGAGAAGTAAGTTTAAGAAATCTATTGCACCACATAGTGACTATAGTCAATGATGAATTCTTGAAAATTGTTTGACAGTGTAAATTTTAAGTGCTGTAATCACAAAAAAAGATGAGCATATGAGGTAATGCATATGTTATTTAGCTCTTTAGGCATTCTACAATATATATTTCAAACATCATTTTGTACATAAGTACATAAAATATTTATTTGCCAATTAAATAAATAAAATAATATTTATAAAAAACAATTCAAGACATTTGGCTTGAGAGCCTCTTTTCATAATCTATAAATTCTCATAGCATCAATTATAAGTTTAAAATAATAAATAAATGACTCAAATTTATGGATCAGCCCAGATGTGGATCCCGTATGGAAACCCATACGTCCAAAAATGAGACGTCACTTAAAATACTCCCACAACCTCATTCAATTGAACTTTTAAAATTGAACTGCTAATTTTCTTCTATTTCCATCCTTCATTTGCTCCTCCATATAGTAAAAAATAATACCTAACTTCCAAGTGCGGGAAGGCAGCAAAACCTGGTGATATTAAACTTCTTCTGCCTTCTGTATGTCTTATTCCCCAACTCAATTCACACTGCATTGATTTTATTTACTAAACATTTTCAGAATCTGACCACTACTCTTAATTTTAATTGTTCATTACTTCTATTCAGGCCAACACCCTTTCTTTCTGAATTACACCAAGAACCTTATAAACCTTCTTTTTGTCCTTTCTATTCTATTCTTCACAATAAAGAGTGTTCCTATATCTAGATTTGACCATGAAACGTCTCAGCTTATTCTAACCTAGGCCTTCTCATTCAGCCTCATCTTCTGATACTGTCCCCACCTTGCTCATTACAATTAAAATATTCTGCTCTTCATTTAATGTCTAGTCCAGTCTCCCACCTTCTCCTTGCTTCCTATTCTCCTATACTTTCTGTTCATTCTCCAAGTCTAAGACCAGATGGCATTTTTTTTTTTCAGGCAATCCTCTGATTCTCTGAGGGGAGACAATGTCAGAGGTACATGCCCCTAGGGCACCTTGTTTCTCTTTAGGGTAGCATAGTTTTTTACCTTTAATTGTGATTTCCAGCCTAATTCTCAGCATCCACCATTAGATTTTATGCTCTGTGAGGATAGGTGGCCATAAACTAGGCCTGCACTACTTCTGGC
Source organism: Homo sapiens (assembly GCF_000001405.40). NCBI lineage: Eukaryota > Metazoa > Chordata > Mammalia > Primates > Hominidae > Homo > Homo sapiens. Next base: position 105,014,500 of record NC_000011.10, read on the forward strand.
ACTCAAGGGAAGTCTAATAATTATCTACTGAATCACTAGTTGAGTGAATGTAGAAACAAATGAATAAATTTTAGGTATGGCCCAACTCTTGAAGAATATTTAATAAAAGGTAAGTAAGTTTGATTTTATTTAATAGACAATAAGCACACACTGGAAGTTTTAAGCAGAAGGAAGGCATATTCATTCTGGAAAATTTGGTGAGCAAAAGTTTGTGAAAAATACTCTGCTAGTTGTGAGGGTACCATTTTGAGGAAATGTTCTTACATGTTCAAGCTTACAGTCAAGTGGAAAGATAGATATGCAAATACATCAAATAAAAAACATTGTAAGAATTTAAATAACGAGCAGATGCTCAAAAAAAAGCATGAGCACACTGTGTTTCAGGTAGAAGATAGCTGTCCAGAGAAGGGAGGGCTTGGCACTGAGACCTGAAAGACTAGGAGGAATTTGCCCCTTGGACAAGTGAGGGCTGGTCCCCTAACAGAGAGCAGTGTGGGAAGAAACACAAAGATTTTAGGGTGTCTAAAGTAATCAGGAAGCTGGGCTAGCTGGGCTTTAGAAAGTATTGAAGTGTGCAGCCAGGACTGAAGTGGGCGTGATGAGATAGGGCCATCATTTGAAGATGTTTGTTTGCAGAAAATTGACAGAACATTAGAGTGTTGAGTTTAAGAGTCAGGCCAACCTAGATTCACTCTTCTCAACAGACATTAGACCAAAAGAAAATTTCGTAGTCCTTTTCTAGACACCTTCCTCAACTATAAAATGGCAATAATAGCACAAACTTAACTGACTGGTTTTAAATATTCAGTCACAGAGAGTGCAAGAGATACCGATCACACAGTATTATTTTTAAAAAACAGTTTTTATTGATTACTTTTTGTTATTTTAGTAATCAATGAATTGAAGATGCAGTGATAATAAAAACGAATGGAATAATTTAGAGGCCAAATTCATCAAGAGCAGTTTTGGTCCTAGGCAAAGTGATGTGATGTTCTTACACATTTTATATAGGATACTGTTTTTCACTAGTTTTATTTAACAAAGACCAACTACACATGGTTGTTTATAATTATTAACCCACTTAACTTATTTTTGATTAGTGCTCTTCAATTTCTCCTATCTATTATCTAATGATTCTCCTGACTCCAGTCTACGACCAGTAAAGTCAGCCTGCCCGGCCAAAGAGGCAGCCATGGCTATGAATTTGACTTACTCCTCCCTGGCCAAATGCTTTTTAGTATCATAAAATAGACAAAAAAAAAAAAAATTTAAAAGCAAGCAATTCCTGCATTTTAGGAGTTTCAGTTAAATGTTGTGAGGTGAGATGTAAACCTTGGAGATAATTAAGCTAGTGGGAGAATCGAATAAAGAAACTCAACAGCAAGGAAGTACAAGTGAAGTAAAATACAGTAAACATTTGCTTCTTTTTCTTATGAACGTAAAAATCGTGCCTTAGAGTGATTAATGGAAAAATGAATAAGTATATTTTGAAAGACAGAAACACCATCTAAAACACTATCTGAAAGTTTAGATATTTTTAAAAAGGCAATAGGGAGCCAATGTATGTTGCTGAGTAAGAAAATTACATTAATAGATCCCTAGCATGTGAGAGGTGAGAGTTAACTAACTGACCACCTTTGCTAATGATGCTAACCTGCAGAAGAACCTGTGCCAGGCTAGCTTCATAAGAATTGTCTGCAGATCTTTAAAGGTTAATAAATGCCTACAGTCTGTTAAAGATTGAGCTATTCAGGGTTGGGAATGCAGTGGTAATCTGATTTTTAAATATGACTGCAGGGGGAGGCGCCAAGATGGCCGAATAGGAACAGCTCCAGTCTACAGCTCCCAGCGTGAGCGAGCAGAAGACGGGTGATTTCTGCATTTCCATCTGAGGTACCGGGTTCATCTCACTAAGGAGTGCCAGACAGTGGGCGCAGGTCAGTGGGTGCGTGCACCGTGTGCAAGCCGAAGCAGGGCGAGGCATTGCCTCACTCGGGAAGCGCAAGGGGTCAGGGAGTTCCCTTTCCTAGTCAAAGAAAGGGGTGACACACGGCACCTGGAAAATCGGGTCACTTCCACCCGAATACTGCGCTTTTCCAACCGGCTTAAAAAATGGCGCATCAGATTATATCCTGCACCTGGCTCGGAGGGTCCTACGCCCACGGAGTCTCGCTGATTGCTAGCACAGCAGTCTGAGATCAAACTGCAAGGCAGCAGCGAGGCTGGGGGAGGGGCGCCCACCATTGCCCAGGCTTGCTTAGGTAAACAAAGCAGCCAGGAAGCTCGAACTGGGTGGAGCCCACCACAGCTCAAGGAGGCCTGCCTGCCTCTGTAGGCTCCACCTCTGGGGGCAGGGCACAGACAAACAAAAAGACAGCAGTAACCTCTGCAGACTTAAATGTCCCTGTCTGACAGCTTTGAAGAGAGCAGTGGTTCTCCCAGCACGCAGCTGGAGATCTGAGAACGGGCAGACTGCCTCCTCAAGTGGGTCCCTGACTCCTGACCCCCCGAGCAGCCTAACTGGGAGGCACCCCCCAGCAGGGGCAGACTGACACCTCACACGGCCGGGTACTCCAACAGACCTGCAGCTGAGGGTCCTGTCTGTTAGAAGGAAAACTAACAAACAGAAAGGACATCCACACCAAAAACCCATCTGTACATCACCATCATCAAAGACCAAAAGTAGAAAAAACCACAAAGATGGGGAAAAAACAGAGCAGAAAAACTGGAAACTCTAAAAAGCAGAGCGACTCTCCTCCTCCAAAGGAACGCAGTTCCTCGCCAGCAACGGAACAAAGCTGGATGGAGAATGACTTTGACAAGCTGAGAGAAGAAGGCTTCAGATGATCAAATTACTCCGAGCTACGGGAGGACATTCAACCAAAGGCAAAGAAGTTGAAAACCTTGAAAAAAATTTAGAAGAATGTATAACTAGAATAACCAATACAGAGAAGTGCTTAAAGGAGCTGATGGAGCTGAAAACCAAGGCTCGAGAACTACGTGAAGAATGCAGAAGCCTCAGGAGCCGATGCGATCAACTGGAAGAAAGGGTATCAGCGATGGAAGATGAAGTGAATGAAATGAAGCAAGAAGGGAAGTTTAGAGAAAAAAGAATAAAAAGAAATGAGCAAAGCCTCCAAGAAATATGGGACTATGTGAAAAGACCAAATCTACGTCTGATTGGTGTACCTGAAAGTGACGGGGAGAATGGAACCAAGTTGGAAAACACTCTGCAGGATATTATCCAGGAGAACTTCCCCAATATAGCAAGGCAGGCCAACATTCAGATTCAGGAAATACAGAGAATGCCACAAAGATACTCCTCGAGAAGAGCAACTCCAAGACACATAATTGTCAGATTCACCAAAGTTGAAATGAAGGAAAAAATGTTAAGGGCAGCCAGAGAGAAAGGTCAGGTTACCCTCAAAGAGAAGCCCATCAGACTAACAGCAGATCTCTCGGCAGAAACTCTACAAGCCAGAAGAGAATGAGGGCCAATATTCAACATTCTTAAAGAAAAGAATTTTCAACCCAGAATTTCATATCCAGCCAAACTAAGCTTCATAAGTGAAGGAGAAATAAAATACTTTACAGACAAGCAAATGCTGAGAGATTTTGTCACCACCAGGCCTGCCCTAAAAGAGCTCCTGAAGGAAGCACTCAACATGGAAAGGAACAACCGGTACCAGCCGCTGCAAAATCATGCCAAAATGTAAAGACCATCGAGACTAGGAAGAAACTGCATCAACTAACGAGCAAAATAACCAGCTAACATCATAATGACAGGATCAAATTCACACATAACAATATTAACTTTAAATGTAAATGGACTAAATGCTCCAATTAAAAGACACAGACTGGCAAATTGGATAGAGTCAAGACCCACCAGTGTGCTGTATTCAGGAAACCCATCTCACATGCAGAGACACACATAGGCTCAAAATAAAAGGATGGAGGAAGATCTGCCAAGCAAATGGAAAACAAAAAAAGGCAGGGGTTGCAGTCCTAGTCTCTGATAAAACAGACTTTAAACCAACAAAGATCAAAAGAGACAAAGAAGGCCATTACATAATGGTAAAGGGATCAATTCAACAAGAAGAGCTAACTATCCTAAATATATATGCACCCAATACAGGAGCACCCAGATTCATAAAGCAAGTCCTGAGTGACCTACAAAGAGACTTAGACTCCCACACATTAATAATGGGAGACTTTAACACCCCACTGTCAACATTAGACAGATCAGCGAGACAGAAAGTCAACAAGGATACCCAGGAATTGAACTCAGCTCTGCACCAAGCGGACCTAATAGACATCTACAGAACTCTCCACCCCAAATCAACAGAATATACATTTTTTTCAGCACCACACCACACCTATTCCAAAATTGACCACATAGTTGGAAGTAAAGCACTCCTCAGCAAATGTAAAAGAACAGAAATTATAACAAACTATCTCTCAGACCACAGTGCAATCAAACGAGAACTCAGGATTAAGAATCTCACTCAAAACCACTCAACTACATGGAAACTGAACAACCTGCTCCTGAATGACTACTGGGTACATAATGAAATGAAGGCAGAAATAAAGATGTTCTTTGAAACCAACGAGAACAAAGATACAACATACCAGAATCTCTGGGATGCATTCAAAGCAGTGTGTAGAGGGAAATTTATAGCACTAAATGCCCACAAGAGAAAGCAGGAAAGATCCAAAATTGACACCCTAACATCACAATTAAAGGAACTAGAAAAGCAAGAGCAAACACATTCAAAAGCTAGCAGAAGGCAAGAAATAACTAAAATCAGAGCAGAACTGAAGGAAATAGAGACACAAAAAACCCTTCAAAAAATTAATGAATCCAGGAGCTGGTTTTTTGAAAGGATCAACAAAATTCATAGACCGCTAGCAAGACTAATAAAGAAAAAAAGAGAGAAGAATCAAATAGACGCAATAAAAAATGATAATGGGGATATCACCACCGATCCCACAGAAATACAAACTACCATCAGAGAATACTACAAACACCTCTACGCAAATAAACTAGAAAATCTAGAAGAAATGGATAAGTTTCTGGACACATACACTCTCCCAAGACTAAACCAGGAAGAAGTTGAATCTCTGAATGGACCAATAACAGGATCTGAAATTGTGGCAATAATCAAAAGCTTACCAACTAAAAAGAGTCCAGGACCAGATGGATTCACAGCCGAATTCTACCAGAGGTACAAGGAGGAACTGGTACCATTCCTTCTGAAACTATTCCAATCAATAGAAAAAGAGGGAATCCTCCCTAACTCATTTTATGAGGCCAGCATCATCCTGATACCAAAGCCGGGCAGAGACACAACCAAAAAAGAGAATTTTAGACCAATATCCTTGATGAACATTGATGCAAAAATCCTCAATAAAATACTGGCAAACCGAATCTAGCAGCACATCAAAAAGCTTATCCACCATGATCAAGGGGGCTTCATCCCTGGGATGCAAGGCTGGTTCAATATACGCAAATCAATAAATATAATCCAGCATATAAACAGAACCAAAGACAAAAACCACGTGATTATCTCAATAGATGCAGAAAAGTTCTTTGACAAAATTCAACAACGCTTCATGCTAAAAACTCTCAATAAATTAGGTATTGATGGGATGTATTTCAAAATAATAAGAGCTATCTATGACAAACCCACAGCCAATATCATACTGAATGGGCAAAAACTGGAAGCATTCCCTTTGAAAACTGGCACAAGACAGGGATGCCCTCTCTCACCACTCCTATTCAACATAGTGTTGGAAGTTCTGGCCAGGGCGATCAGGCAGGAGAAGAAAATAAAGGGTATTCAATTAGGAAAAGTGGAAGTCAAATTGTCCCTGTTTGCAGACGACATGATTGTATATCTAGAAAACCCCATTGTCTCAGCCCAAAATCTCCTTAAGCTGATAAGCAACTTCAGCAAAGTCTCAGGATACAAAATCAATGTACAAAAATCACAAGCATTCTTATACACCAACAACAGACAAACAGAGAGCCAAATCATGAGTGAACTCCCATTCACAATTGCTTCAAAGAGAATAAAATACCTAGGAATCCAACTTACAAGGGATGTGAAGGACCTCTTCAAGGAGAACTACAAACCACTGCTCAAGGAAATAAAAGAGGGTACAAACAAATGGAAGAACATTCCATGCTCATGGGTAGGAAGAATCAATATCGTGAAAAATGGCCATACTGCCCAAGATAATTTACAGATTCAATGCCATCGCCATCAAGCTACCAATGACTTTCTTCACAGAATTGGAAAAAACTACTTTACAGTTCATATGGAACCAAAAAAGAGCCCGCATTGCCACGTCAATCCTGAGCCAAAAGAACAAAGCTGGAGGCATCACACTACCTGACTTCAAACTATACTACAAAGCTACAGTAACCAAAACAGCATGGTACTGGTACCAACACAGAGATATAGATCAATGGAACAGAACAGAGCCCTCAGAAATAATGCCGCATATCTACAACTATCTGATCTTTGACAAACCTGAGACAAACAAGCAATGCGGAAAGGATTCCCTATTTAATAAATGGTGCTGGGAAAACTGGCTAGCCATATGTAGAAAGCTGAAACTGGATCCCTTCCTTACACCTTATACAAAAATTAATTCAAGATGGATTAAAGACTTAAAAGTTAGACCTAAAACCATAAAAACCCTAGAAGAAAACCTAGACATTACCATTCAGGACATAGGCATGGGCAAGGACTTCATGTCTAAAACACCAAAAGCAATGGCAACAGAAGCCAAAATTGACAAATGGGATCTAATTAAACTAAAGAGCTTCTACACAGCAAAAGAAACTACCGTCAGAGTGAACAGGCAACCTACAAAATGGGAGAAAATTTTCGCAACCTACTCGTCTGACAAAGGGCTAATATCCAGAATCTACAATGAACTCAAACAAATTTACAAGAAAAAAACAAACAACCCCATCAAAAAGTGGGCGAAGGACATGAACAGACACTTCTCAAAAGAAGACATTTATGCAGCCAAAAAACACATGAAAAAGTGCTCACCATCACTGGCCATCAGAGAAATGCAAATCAAAACCACAATGAGATACCATCTCACACGAGTTAGAATGGCAATCATTAAAAAGTCAGGAAACAACAGGTGCTGGAGAGGATGTGGAAAAATAGGAACACTTTTACACTGTTGGTGGGACTGTAAACTAGTTCAACCATTGTGGAAGTCAGTGTGGCGATTCCACAGGGATCTAGAACTAGAAATACCATTTGACCCAGCCATCCCTTTACTGGGTATATACCCAAAGGACTATAAATCATGCTGCTATAAAGACACATGCACACGTATGTTTATTGTGGCATTATTCACAATAGCAAAGACTTGGAACCAACCCAAATGTCCAACAATGATAGACTGGATTAAGAAAATGTGGCACATATACACCATGGAATATTATGCAGCCATAAAAAATGATGAGTTCATGTCCTTTGTAGGGACATGGATGAAATTGGAAATCATCATTCTCAGTAAACTATCACAAGAACAAAAAACCAAACACCGCATATTCTCACTCATAGGTGGGAACTGAACAATGAGAACACATGGACACAGGAAGGGGAACATCACACTCTGGAGCCTGTTGTGGGGTGGGGGGAGGGGGGAGGGATAGCATTGGGAGGTATACCTAATGCTAGATGACGAGTTAGTGGGTGCAGCCCACCAGCATGTCACATGTATACATATGTAACTAACCTGCACATTGTGCACATGTACCCTAAAACTTAAAGTATAATAATAATAAATAAATAAATTAAAGAAAAAAAAAGACTGCAGATTATTCATATATGTTATAAGGTTTAGAAAGCACTGATCTATTCCAGTTTCTTCCTTTTTCCAGTGAGGAGAATGAAACCAAAGACGCAATATGACCTGCTGGAATACGAGCTGCTTAAGTAGCCCAGGACTCCAACTCATAGGCTTTTTTAGCTTCTGTGTATAAGACAGTTGGCCTGAAAGTAGTGTGCAGTATGGACTGAAGGGTTAAGTTTTTGGGAGTGGGAAGACAGTTAAAAGTCTATGATAGCAACCTAAGATATATTACATTATAAGAGTTAGTACCAGGACTACATAGAAAGGTGGAAAAATGCAATCACTTTAAACAGACCAATAAGATAATTCAAGATAAGAGATGACAACACGTTGAGAACACAGAGGCTCTCAGATCTGATTGTGGGGAGAAGGTTCATAGTCTGGAGGATTAATTTGGAATCAAGAGGAAGCAGAGAAGATTTCAGAGTGCATTTAGAAATTTCCGGAGTTTTCTCACACAAATAACTTACTCTGTCTTTCCTTACTCTCTCTTTGATTACCAGAAGCTGAAAGAAAGGAATTAACCTTTTTCTGGCTTGAAAACATCTAGAGAACATACTCTCCTTCAGTGTCTCTACACAGTCTCAGGATTCAAACTACATACCACCAATAAGAGAAAGATTCAGCATGCACACTATTGGTTGATTTCCCTTTTGGTATTTCTGCCTGTCACATAGCAATAAATCAAGATTTTTCTAAGACCTGAGTACCCAGCTGCTAGTCAGAAAAGGGCCCAGACTCACCAGCCATAGCTAACAGCCTCTGTCTCTTTGTACAGCACTGGAAAGTGCCTCAGACTCAGAGATAAAATACACTAGGTACTTCCTTATTGCAGGGAGTGGGGACAAGTGATTACAGATTATGGGAAGTTGCTTCTGGGAACCTATAGTTTCATCATTGGGAAGTGCCCTGTAGTAAGCAAATTGGCTTTCTATTCTTGAACTCTAGATTCTTCCCTGGGGAAAAAAAATGCAAATGACAAAACATTGTTTTGTGGGTTGAAACCTCAGCCTGGTTTTCTTTTTCCTTTTCTCTCTCCATAGCCCCACATCTTCTTTTATTCATCCCTCTCTTCTGATCTGTCAGTTTTTCTACCTCTGCTCGTCTAAAAACACATGTCCTGAATGAGTAAAATCTAACTAGTTTCCTTGCATCTTCCCATAAGAATTAACCAAATATTTTGTATATCTTGGGTTTCTTTATTTTTCATTTCAATTTTTATTTGAGTTTCAGGGGTACATATGCAGGTTTGTTACAAGAGTATATTAGGTGATGCAGAGGTTTGTAGTACAATTTAACCTATTACCTAGGTAGTGAGAATAGCACCCAGTACATAGTTTTTCGGCTCTTGCCTTCTTCCTTCATTCCTCCCTCTGGTATTTCCCTGTGTCTGTTATTCCCGTCTTTATGTCCATGTGTACACAATATTTAGCTAGAACTTACAAGTGAGATTATGTGATATTTGGTTTTCTGTTTCTGCATTAATTTGCTTAGAATAATGGCCTCCAGTTGCATCCATGTTGCTGCAAAGGGCAGGGTTTCATTTTTATGGCTGTGTAACATTCCATAGTAGCAGTGTACCACATTTTTTTAAATCCAATCCACCATTGATGGACACCTGGGTTGATTCTATTATTTTGGCTACAGTGAATAGTGCTGCGACAAACATTTGAAAGCACATGTCTTTTTGATAGAACAGTACATTTTCCTTTGAGGATTCAGTCAGTAATGGGATGCTTGGACAAATGATAGTTCTTTTTTTAGTTATTTGGTAAATCTCCAAACTGCTTTTCAAAAAGATGGATGCATCACATTACTGGACTTCAAGCTATGCTAGAAGTCTACAGTAACCACAACAGCAAGGTATTCGTACAAAAAAAACAGACACAAAGCCCAATGGAACAGAATAGAGAACCCCAAAATAAAGCCACACACCTATAACCAACTGATACTCAACAAAGTCAACAACAACAGCAAAAAGAAACAAGGAAAGGATTGTTTATTCAATAAATGTATTTCTTGTTTAAACTGTGCTGAGGAATCATGATGGAGTCTTCTCCTCCCCATCTCCCTGTCATCTTACGCTTTGATTGGAGACAGTTCTGAAGGAATCCTCTTATCTACTTCCTGGAATGCTGTTCTTCAACTGACTAAAACTGCTTTAACAGTTAATTTTTACTTAGGGTGGCAATTCACTTCTCCTTTTTGATATTCTCTGAGCAAAGACTGATCACAGATGTAGTCTCAGGTTGTAGTAGAGTATGCATGATAACACAGAAGAGATATGCCCAGAGAAACAGTTAATAAAAGGTAAAAAAAAAAAAAAAGAGAGAGAGAGAGAGACTGTAATGTGTTCAACTATGAAGGTGTTTAAGAAGTCAGAAATTAACTCTCATTTAATCTGTTAAATATTAGAAAAAAACATATTTGCAAGTAAGGGGTAGTTCTTCGAATCCTCCCTAAATCTTAACATCCCTGAGTGCATGATTTCACCCCAAACTCGTTTTCTCTGCACCATGCCAGGACTTCACTGTGCACACCATGCATCCTAGAGTTTCTTCAGGGTGTCAGGCACCATCTGCCAAGCGCTTCATTTTGGATGGCTGTCTTATCTTTTCAAGAAGTCTGTGAACTACTGAGGGTTGATTCAAAACTTACTTTGTCTTAAATACTTTTGCAAAGGGTAGAAACATGCAAGTTCATGGATTTGTCAGTAGCAAACTGTGGGATTTGGGAAAAGTTCTTTATCACACTACACTGTCGCTGTCATAACTAGCTGTCTTCCCCCGTCTCTCCTGCTGAGCTCTAAATTATTTGAAGTCAGATACCTGCTGTAACTTATATCACATCCCCAAAGCAGAAAGCCCAGCAAACGATTTTTCTTTTTTTAAAAATGGCACAAAATAAATTTTTGTTCAAGAAAGTAATTAATAACATTGCTATGTTTGTAAGTCTGATTTTCTTTTTTAAATTTTTATATTTTATTTTACTTTAAGTTCTGGGAAAGAAAGGTGCCAATAGCCAGTTTGGGTCTGACAGATTAAGTCAAACACTCTAAATTCCTTAGTCACTCTAAGTTCCAGTCCCTGTTTCTTCAGTGTGGGAGAAAAATGAGGACAAGTTTTCATTTTTCTACCAGATTTATTATTTCAAAAAAGTTTATTATTCAGCAGACATAATTCCAAAAACCTTTACAGAAGGATCTCTTCACTTCCTATGAGAAAAAGAAATAATTAAAAAAAAAAACATAGGAAAGAATTTTGTTAAAGACATGCAAGTTATAAAGTTATACCACCAATGGGAACATACACAATTTTAAAAGGAAAGACCACATGCTATGTTTAAATATACCCTGCTGAGGTGAAGGAGAGAAACATCCAAAAGTGAGGGTTTGTAGTCTTACGGCCACTTCTAGGCCAATATCAGATGAATCTCAAAAGGGGTCTAAATGAAAAACTTTGGGAGAAGAGCAACGTGCTCTGCACTGACCAGAAGAAAGGCATTACTTCAGTATTTTCTGTATATGGCTTGATTATCCCTTATCCAAAATGCATGCTACCAGAAGTATTTCAAATTTCAGATATTTTTGTATATTGGAATTCAGCTGTATACTTACTGGTTTAGCATCCCTAATCCAAAAACCTATAATTTGAAATGTTTCAATAAACATTTCCTTTGAATATCATGTGGGCGCTCACACAGTGTTGGATTTTAGAGCATTTCAAAATTCAAATTTTTGGATTAAGGATTCTCAGCCTGTAAACCTAGAGTTCTTGACTCAAATGGACTTTCAGTACCCTTTCCTCAACCTTCCCACACTCCCGACCATACACATGTACCTGCCCACAGACATTCATACAGTTTCCTTATTTTAATGTCCTGGGAAGAGGTAGAAACATCTTGTCAAAGTCACTCTTTCAGTGGTGGGCATCTGCGCTCTACCATCTGGCTGCTCAAATGAAAATCGAACCTAAAAGAGTAAGGAAAGTCTGTAGCCCTTTTTTTTGCTGAGTTTTTTTTTTCAAGAATTTCTTGAGTTATGCCAAAAAACTACAACAAATATAGCAAAATAAGTGACAAAAACAAAAAGTACTTCCATCTGCAACAAGTATAACCATATATGTATGTAAGCATTGAATGACCCTCCTCAGGGCATTTTAAATCTGCTGCTGGATCTAATAGCCATGAGAGACACAGGTAAATTAGAGTCCATTCATTTGTCTCTGCAGGGCAGGAGCGGGGTGAAACTAAATGATTGTTTTCTCAAGGCTGTGGGTCTTAATAGATTGGATTAGGCTCCTGGGTTTGTCCACTCTCCAAAGAACTCCAAAACTCTTTTGGAAAGAAGAGCATTATTGGAAGATAAACTTGTCTGGATCTGCTTTCTATGCTTCCAATTGCAATAGCCAAGCATTCAGGGAAGTAGAGTGAAAATAGCATCCACTAGCATCTTACCTTGCGGAAAATTTCCTCCACATCACAGGAACAGGCATATTCTTGCATATGTTCAATGAGTCTTCCAATAAAAACAGAGCCCATTGTGGGATGTCTCCAAGAAACATTATCTATGGATAAAGCACATTTCAAATCTCAAGACTGGCTCTTGCCTGAAGAAAGAGAAGAAACCCTAGTATTTATACTCCAGCTGAGGGATGTTTGAAATCATAAATTTAGTAGCAAATAAGGAAAAGGCGGAATGGGGTAGAGGGGAGTGATTGGGATTTGGAAATGAAATATCTAAATGTGCATTCCCAAAGTGGTATTACTGACTGTGATTTAAGTTAATTATGCATTCTGATATTTAATAGACTCAGCTAGCTATACAGGGGATGGTAATAACTCCATACACAAGAGGTATCTGAGGTCACGCAAGTGTTTGAGATAACCCAGGATATGCAATACTCAGTCTACATGGGGTAATTATATTATCAAATTCTCAATTTATGTACTTCATAAAAGATTAATCGAAATTAAATAACATTGACAGTAAGATATTTACACACAAAAAGTTAACTATAAAAATCATAAAACAGAACAAAAGTAGAAATCTAGGAGGAGTAGATAAGGAAATAAGCACAGTATATTGGAGGAAAAAAGTTCTTATGAAGAAGAGAAATATTAAAGAAAAATATTAATTTATTACATAGTAGACACAGAAGTAATGAAGGCATAAAATTATGCAAAGGAAGTCATAAGAGAAAAGCAGCAGCAATAGCTCTGTATGTAATGACAGACACATTCTTTAATGACACATTTTAGCCAGTTCTAATGGTCATAAAGTATATATTGATAATAAAATTCTATTTAGAAACCCAGCTATCTCAGCTAAATGAAGCCTTTAACTGAGACTTGTTCTAGTAAAAGGAAGTAAGTGAAAGATATCGTGGAGACAGATATCTTTGCAAATGTTTTGTGAAATTAAGGAAGTAGATAATTATTTTTCTTCAGGAGATCACTATGATGTGGTTGGGATTGGCACAGCAGAATGTGGAGATAGGTTTAACATGGAAGTTATAGATAACTGAATTGGAGTTTCTGACAGTCATCTAGAAGGTAGGAGTAAGGAAAGTGAAAGAAAAGAAAGACACATAAATCAGCCAGATTGATAATGAGAAGCCAGAGGCCTACAAAGAGCTACTTAGAGAGCGGTGAATGTCATGTGGAAGGCTGGGATCAAAGGATACTAACGAACAGTTCTGTCTAATATTAAACTCTGCTATACGTACTCAGGCTGAAAATATATGGTGTTTTTGGGTAGTGTCATTGTTTCTGATCATTGGGAAAAAAAAATTATTGAGTTCTACATCAGGGCATGTTCAACCCAATGTAGAACCAAGCTTCTTCTGAAAGAAGATATCTCATTTTAGAAAATATTTTAGAAAACTTAACTATTTGAGCAGAGACAGGGCCTTTGGGCCAGAGGTGACCAAGAGAATGCAAGTCCTCTCAGGAAACTGCCAAAGGTGGTGAATGAAAGGATTTAAATAATTTTTATTTAAACCTTGCTTAGAAAAGTAACTGAATTAAGTTATCAAATATATACATTTTAAATAATAGCAGTTTTTTAATGTGTGCTTTATTTTGTGTCGTGCCCAATATTTCAAATATATTAATTTATTAAATCCTTAGAAAAATAATATTTATATTCACATATTAGTCAGCAATTCAAGGAAAGCCCGAGGAGGAACTAGTGGAACTGTTTTACAAAATACTAAATGTCTGGGTCAGTCAATAATAGCAAGATTCTTACTCCAAAGCATACGTTTAGAAAAATTCAAATATATTCTGTCTCACACACTTCATGCTTCTAGGTAAAACCCACTTTAATTTAGGGCCCCAAAGTGTCTCGCTTGCTGTTCTGCTTTTCAGAATCTTGCTCTTACTCTTCTCCTATAAATATTTGATGTCTGGGCAAATTGGACTAATGAATGATCTCAACATGGCAGAATTTTCTATGCAGAGTCAGATTCTAATGTACTACAGCACATACCGTCTTCCATTTAATTCTCTGCTATCGCTCAAAGTTCCAAAAATATTTTGAAACATAGATGAATTCTTTAATTAGTAATGCATTGAACAGATATGCAAAATTGCTCTCTTGGATAAAGGGAATTCTGTGTATAACTTGGAACAAAGCTTGAGTTGGTCTTGAGTTGTTAATCACCACCTCTAGTGGGTTATTGTCACTTTTTCTATTGATAGCCCCAACAAAGATGTCCTGTGTAGAAACCTGTTACCTGGTGTGGAAGAGCAGAAAGCGATAAAATCCTTCTCTATGTGGGCTTTCTTAATAGCATCATCCTCAAACTCTTCTGTAGTTGGTAAAGATAGGTTTCCAGAAACTCCTACTGAATCTTTAAACCACACCACACCAGGGCTGTCTGGAAAGACACAGTTTGATTTGTTACTACTACCAATGGCTGAGAAGATGTTTTCCTCCTAGCCTCTGTTCAATGATATTTATTAATGTGTTTGCTCTATCATTAATTCACATGCAAATAGACACATGCATTTCAGTTACAATCTTTTCAACAATGTTTATCTTTTCTAACCATCAAACAAATTGTAAAAATTTCCAAACATCAAAATCTCAAGCTTAAATATGGAATAAATATCTACCAACCAGCCATTCAATTCACAGAAGCTGCATTCTTGAATACTGACAGTATGTGTTCTTTGACATTAAAAGACAAACCAAAAGAAACCAAAAATTCTTGGATGCATACAGAGTAGGATAGTATTTGATTGTCTGGTGTTCTCAAAGGCATCAGCACTCACCACCACGGCAGGCCTGGATGATGATCACCTTCGGTTTGTCCTTCAAACTTGGGCAGTTCTTGGTATTCAACATGTTAAAGATTGCATTGAGTTGTAGTATATCTGGGACTTGCTCAGAGTGTTTCTTCCCACAAATGCCTTCCCGAATACCATGAGACATGAACACCAGGAACGTGCTGTCAGAGGTCTTGTGCTCTGGGCGGTGTGCAAATGCCTCCAGCTCTGTAGTCATGTCCTGAAAGACACCATATCACTGATTTTCGACTATGTAATTAACTATCATGGTACCTTGGAAAGTCAATAAATAAATACTTAAGGAGTTTCTTAAGGAATTCCGTGACAAACAACAGGGTGCCAAAAAAAAATTTAGTCTTAGTTTCAAGAAAGGTGAAGGAAAGTGTTATAGGAAGTCATCCAGAGTTATCTTGTAGAGAGACAGTGGCATTACTGAGTCAATAAAACATTTCCCAATTCAGTTATACCAGGCTTGTGCTGCATGACTCTTATGTTACAAAGGACCATGTAGTATCCAGCACTCTCTCATGGCAAGTTTGTATTTTAGATTATCAAGAGATTACATTTCTTGGTCTTACAACCAAGCTTTCTAATATTATTCAGTTATACGAAGGGCATAACCATTGTTTCTGTTGTATAATAGAACTTACCGAAGCAGTGAGATTTTTTTTCACATCTACGCTGTACCCCAGATTTTGTAGCAGCATTGTCATGCCTGTGATGTCAACCTCAGCTCCAGTTCTTCTAGGAATACTGTCAAATTCTTCATTGCAGATAATGAGAGCAAGACGTGTGCGGCTTGACTTGTCCATTATTGGATAAATCTGTAGGAAATGCAATTTGAATGAACAGCCTTGTTCTTTCCAATTAAATATTTCCCTTCCTGGTTTATGACAGCTTCCCCTTCCTTAGTCCTATCAAGATACCAAACCCCATGAACCATACATTGAAAAGGGGGAACAGAATTGAATGCTGCTTCAAGAGTATGCATGGACATTGCAAATGCCCAGATGGCAGCTGAGCTTCTGACTTCGTTGTTCTTGATAGGTAGGATTTTGAAAGATGCACAAGCTTTGAAGCAAAAATGACTGAATTCTAAAACTGATTGTTCCAATTTCTGATTGTTTTTCTTTGGGAAAAATATTTAACAATCCCGTCTCAGCTTCTTGATCTCTAAAATGGGTTGTGTTTAAGGTTAAAAATTATATATTATCATGTGCAAAATGCTTAGAACAATGCCCATTCTTAATAAGCATTCAATAGCTGTCATCACTGATGTTATTTACCCCGGAAGTGGATCCAATTTGGACCTCTTTCTATAAACCTGGGATTCTAGGATATAGAAATCCTTTATGTAAGGGGAGCAGAAGTATGATTCTCCAGAACTGCTCAATGAGGTTGGCTCTAAGAATAAGCCACTGCATTTCAGAACTGCCTGAAGTGTTTCTTTCACCCCACTCTATCCTTGGGTTCTGAGCATGGCACCTCTGCCGACTTTTGTTTCCATATCCTTTGAGCTTCTTCTAGGGAGCAAAGCTTGACATTCCCTTCTGAGCCTGAGGATGTGGGCATAGCTGGGTTGTCCTGCACTGCCTGAGGAGCTGCAAGAGACAAAGAACATCATGAACAGTGGCATCCCTGTTTGTTCCACTTTGTGTTTGTTACAGCCTCACCTATGGATGAAGCCACAGAAGAGGAAATGCACTCTGAGGAGGACAATCCTGATCTACATCATTAACACAGCTGAGTGAGTTTGCTCCTAATGGAGCACATTTCAAGCAAGAGATTTCCAGGTATGCATTACAAGTATCTTCTTTCATATTTCAGGATCAGCCTTTCTACAAGCATTTTAGATACTAACATAGAAAGGGAAAATTTAAAGTCTATGCCTGATAAAACACTCAGAAAACAAAAAATGTGTGAGATAAAATAGTTAAGAATATAAACTTTTTTCAAAATATTCAAACCCTAGGATAAAATTTAATGGGATCAGGTCTTAATTTAATCTACTAAAATATTTTTTAAAATACATGTTTATCTTTTTATTTATTTACTTAATATACATGGTAGTAAGCACTAGGAATATTTTTTAATGAATCTTTGTCCTGTCCTTCAGGATCTCTTCCTTCTATGTATACATATGAAAGGACATGAATATTGAATATATGAAGTAGAATGAAGATATAATGATAAATGCTAAAATCAAGGTACACACTAGATGGATTTATAGCACTAAACATTCATTGCACAGACACTTGAGGAAATGTTTTCACAGAGTTTATGTGAGAAAATCCTTGAGCCTTTTATTTCATCACAGGTTCAACACAATCCAACAATGTGATGTCCTTGTTAAAGAAATTAATGTAACCTTTGTTTTAAAATAGAAATAAGTTTTCTAGATGTGTGGAGGATCTTTTAGAAGCTATTAAGGCAAAAAATAATATTTAATTTTAAAAACAAATTTGAAAAATTGTTATACAATCAGTTAGATAAACAAAGGCAGCATGAAATGTGCTGATGTGGAGAAGAACGAATTAGAATAGATATATTGGAAAAAATTATAGAATAATCATTTGTTGGATAAAATGTTGGATTTCTTCATAAAGAAGTGTGAAAACAATAGAAAAAAACTAGAAGTAGTTAGGTTATTTTTGAGCTATTTTTTCATAGTAGAGAATACAGTATTTCTTTATATATTGAATATCCCATGCTGTGAAACATTTAAGAAAATATTCATGATACCCAACCTTAATAAATTCAGTAGAGTAATATCTGAACTTGATAAATAATTTGCATTCCTAGCCTCTACATTGCTTTCAGATATAAGTTTAAGAGTGCACTATGGGAATAGGGGTTCTTTAATAAAATAATAGAAGTAGAAATAGAGAGATGGTTCCAAATTTGAGAAAAGCCTGCATAAAACTTGGCCATGGGTTGAATGTTAGAGGTGCATGAGAAGGAAGGGTCCCATATGAGTTTCAAGTTCCTGGTTTGAACAACTGGTGACGGTGGCACCAATAACCAAGTTACACAAAACCGGAAGAGAAGCAGGGTGTGGAAGTATAGCATTTTCAGCTCTGGGAAAGTTTAGAATAAGGTGTCTCTGGGAGATGGGAGTGAATATTTCAGTAGGCTTAAATAATGAAGTTTGGTACTTATTTGGGTAATCAGGATTTGAGACACAGATTCAGAATTTTTAATATAAATGTGGATAATGAAGCTGTGGAAACAGTTTCTACAAAAGCAGAATAGATTACAAAAAGAAAATTATATGACCAATCTATGAGAATTCTCCATAGCCCATTTACCCACGTTTGATCCTACAAAATTAATGTCAAGGAAGATGTGGGTCAAAGAATGCTCTTCCTTTAAAAACAGCATTACCTGGAAAGGAAGAAAGTACTCCTTGAGAGTCTTGCATATTAAGGTAATTTCCAGATGTTTGATCTATGAAAAGATAAAGGGTATTGAAGTAGTCACTTATCATCTCTGGAAAACTTTACCCCAATCTGTAAAACACTCCCCACTAAAAATTTCTCCCATAACACTGACTGACTGACTGACATTAAATAATGTTAAAGATGTTCTTTAATTTAGAGAGTGGTGGGAGGTAGAAAATGAAAGAGGCATTGGTAGAAAAATACGTGTTTATTACACATAGATGAAAACAGAAACATCTGCAATGTCTGCTTAGACAGGCATAAGCTTTCCCTAACCCTTAGAACAGAAGGCTTTTGCTTTCAAAGAACATCTCCCTCTGAAGTGGCTTTAGGAAGTGCCACAGACATCAATGACTGGGAATCCACCAGAACTCTCATCCTCACCACGTGGTAGGTCCAAGTGGTCATGAGATTTGGCCAGCTCAGTTCCTGAGCCCTGTATTGGGCCTGAGGAGGGTTGCAAGTGGAGGATTTCCAGGCCTCACAGCATGACCCACAGCCTGGTAACAGGCAACCAGGTGATCTTACTCAAAGAAAATACAAGGAGGCAACTGGAGGAATGAGCCCATTAGAAATCTTCACTTTTCTATACGTTCAATGTGTTCTCTGAGTGTATCGCCATCATTGAAATATATTTTATTCTTTTGGGAGGGTAAAATTTTGGAGAAAAGTTATAAAAAGTATTTGATTATAAACCTTAAAGCTTCATGTGACTTTACAACTACATAAGTGCCTACAGACCCCTTGCACTCAGCAAAAATAAATCCACAGGTAAATATTTTGCCTTGCCAGGAACACTGGAAAACACAGCATGAAGCTTTTCAGATGGTTCTCAAGAGCTTCAGTAAAGGAGCTACCACATACTCAGAACAGGAAATGAGCTTTAATCAGAAGAGTGCCACTGAGGATTAAGGAAAAGAATCAAAGGAGAGTCAAGGGACATGCAATAGGGACCCTGCTACAGAAATATGGCCCTGAAGCCAGAAATAAGAAAGTTTTCTTCCAATTAACATGACTAGTAAAGAAATCAAATGTTAGGCACGAAGACAGGCCCTAGGTGAACTTGAGTGTAAGTCACTGACCCTTACCTGCTGAGAGTCCCAGCGTCCCTGCCAGGTAACTGTCTTCTTCACAAATGTATGTGATGCAAATTTGGCATGCCTGTGCCCCTTTCGGAATAACGGAGTCAATCAAAGCTCGGGTCTTATCCATAACTGTAGCATTTTCACGTTTTACTTTCTCCATCTCTTCCTTGTTCAGCACCCTTGTCTGTAATAATTCATCCAGTAAGCCATTTATTGTACCTTCACCCATGGAACGGATAAACAGCTTTCTCTTCTCCTTCAGGACCTTGTCTGTTTAGAGCACAAGGATTTCTCACATCATGAAAACAGCCTCATATTCCTCTCATGTAATCAACAGAAAGTGACCTCATTTAGATTTCATCAGTGAAATGTCCCCCTCCTCACAGTTGGGTAATCCCTCTTCTTACTGTATTGCTGTCCTACTTGTTTCCCTCAATAGTCTCCATACATGTGCATGGAGTGACCTGAAGACTGAGTTTACCATTTCCACATCAGTCCCTGGAAAGCAGAGATCATCCTCTTATGTCGCATGTTTATTTAACTCTGGTTAATAAAGTAATGAAGCAGAAATAGCCCATTTCATTTAGGAACCACTGCTGCTAGTACTCCTCCTGTGCCAATTCTGTACCCTCTGTCAGACTTTCAACATGTAAGTAAGAGTTTAATTAAGATTGCAAAATGACATCAGGCTTCCCCTAAAGCCTCAGTTCCTTTCTGGGCTTGCCTTTCCTTTCTAAAGTCTGCAAGAATCTTCTAGTTCCTTCTCTCCTCCCTCTCCCCCCTTTTCCTTGCTTCTACTCAAGTAAACTTCCACAGATGCTAATTATGGCTTCCAGAAGAGCCAGCCCCTTCCAAAACTCTTTCTTCCCAGGGACCTGTTCTTGGAACAGTAAAAGACTCACCGGCCATGGCTTTTCTCTCCTCCCTTCTTGTGTGACTGAAACTGAAAGTATGCTTCGCCTTCCTTTTTGGCAGGGCCTGTACATGTATTGGGAAATACTCACTGTGCATGCATATGCATGTCTTTATTTTTCTTCCCATTAAAGAATCAGAACTGTAGCCTGCATCAGGTAGTGTATCCATGGGAAATTTTCTTCACCAGCCCTTGGATAGATCAGGGTAGGAGGG
Organism: Homo sapiens; assembly: GCF_000001405.40. Lineage (NCBI taxonomy): Eukaryota > Metazoa > Chordata > Mammalia > Primates > Hominidae > Homo > Homo sapiens. The sequence continues at coordinate 105,035,333 of NC_000011.10, forward strand.
GAATGGGGCTTGGAGAGTAAGACAGGATTGAAAAAGTATGTGTACAATTAAATTCACACAGTGAAGAGTTTCTCAATCATTAGAAAGCTTGACGGAGAAAAGTAACACAACCTTTGGAGTATGTGAACCACTGTTCCCCTGACCCCACCTCATAGCTCTTGGGAAAGTTGTGGGTAATGTATGTCCCTGTGAAACATTTTTGCTTTAAGAAATAGAAACATTTTTCACCAGAATTAAAGCTTTTCTTATTTAATGTCCTTCTTTTCACATTGCTTTTTTCTTTCTGTTTTTTTTTTTTTCTGATACAGGGTATCATTCTGTCGTGCAGGCCGGAATGCAGTTATTTGACCTTGGCTCACTGCAGCCTCCACTTCCCAGGCTCAGATGATTCTTCCAACTCAGCCTCCCGAGTAGCTGCAATTACTGGCACATGCCACCATGGCCAGCTAATATTTGTATCTCTTGTAAAGACAGGGTCTCCTTGTGTTTCCTAGGCTTGTCTTCAGCTCCCAGGCTCAAGCAATGTGCCCACCTTGGTCTCCCAAATTGCTAGGATTACAGGCATGAGCCACCCACCCATCCTGGAGGGTTTATTTTTGAGGGAAATTGCATTGTAGAGGCCCAGAGCATAGGCTCTGGAATGAGAATGTCGAACTTAGCATTTTAAACTTCCCTTCCTTGGCAAGATAATGAACTTCCCTATGCATTGGTTCCTCTGTATGTGAAATAATTTTATTAATAGTATGTACCTACACAGTTTTGAGCATTAAGTGAGAGAAAATGTGGAAAATGCATGGAACATAGCCTGGCAAATGGTAAGCAAATAATGAGTGATATTATTATAATTAATACAAATGTTTAAGGTTAGAAAAATAATCAAGGATGATTATTTGCAGATTATTTAGCTAAGTTTATCTTTTGTTAGAATCCTCAAGCAGTGCATCTAGTCATTCATTTAGCAAACATATACGGACGACATTGCTCTAGGTGCCAGAGGTTCAGTCAAAACATATCATGGTCCTTTCCCCTTTGGTCTCACATTCAAGAGGGAAAGACAAACATGAAGGCTGGTGATATGGTCTGTCTCTGTTTCCCTACTCAAATCTCACCTTGAATTGTAATAATCCTCATGTGTTATGGGAGGTATCTGGTGGGATGTAATTGAATCATGGGTGCTGTTTTTTTTCCATGCTGTTCTCTTGATAATGAATGTCTCATGAGATCCGATGGTTTTATAAAAGGGAATTCCTCTGCTCATACCCTCTTGCCTGCACCCATGTAAGACGTGTCCTTGCTCCTCTTTTGCCTTTTGCTATGATTCTGAGGCCTCCCCAGCCATGTGGAACTGTGAGTCTATTAAATATCTTTTTTGTTCTATATAATTACCCAGCCTTGAGTATGTCTTTATTAGCAGTGTGAGAAATGACTAATGCAGTAAATTTATACTGAGTAATGGAGTGCTGCTGTAAAGATCTCCAAAAATGTGGAAGCGATGTTGGAACTGGGTAAAATGCAGAGGTTGGAACAGTTCTTAGGGCTTAGAGAAAGATAGGAAAATAGAATCTGGAACTTTCTAGAGACTTGTTGAATGGCTTTGACTAAATGCTGCTCATCTCGAATGAAGATAGGAACTTGTTGGGAAGTGGAATAAAAGTGACTGTTGCTGCGTTTTAGTGAAGAGAGTGGTGGCATCTTGCCCCTGCCCTAGAGATCTGTGGAACTTTGAACTTGAGAGAGATGATTTAGGGCATCTGGCAGAAGAAATTTCTAAGCAGCAAAGCATTCCAGAAGTGATTTGGGTGCTGTTAAAAGCATTCATTTTTATGTATTTGCAAAGATATGGTTTGGAATTGGAACTTATGTTTAAAAGGGAAGCAGAGCATAAAAGTTTGAAACATTCGCAGCCAGATGATGTGCTGGGAAAGCAAAACCCACTTTCTAAGGAGAAATTCAAGCCAACTGTAGAAATTTGCAGAAGTAACGAGGAGCCAAATGTTAATCTCTAAGACATTAATCTCCAAGACAATGGGGAATATGTCTCCAGAGTATGTCAGAGACCTTCCAGGCAGCCCCTCCTATCACAGGACTGGAGACCTAAGAGGGAAAAAAATGTTTTCATGAGGTAAGCCGAGGGCCCTTCTGCTGTATGCAGCCTAAAGGCTTAGTGCCCTTCTTCCCGGGCCACTGAAGCCATGGCTAAAAGGGGCCAAGAAATAGCTTGGGCTGTGACTTCAAAGGGTGCAAGCCCCAAGCCTTGGCAGCTTCCATGTGGTGTGGAGCCTGTAGGGGCACAGAAGTCAAGAATTGAGGTTTGGGAACCTCTGTCTAGATTTCAGAGGATGTATGGAAATGCTTGTATGTCCAGGCAGAAGTTTGCTGCAGGGGTGGGACCCTCATGAAGAACTTCTACTAGGGCAATGCAGAAGGGAAATGTGGGGTGTGAGCTCCCACACAGAGTCCTCACTGGGGCACTGCCTAGTGGAGCCATGAGAAAAGGGCCACCATCCTCCAGATCCTAAAATGGTAGATCCACAAACGGCTTGCACCATGCACCTGGAATACTCAGGCACTCAATGCCAACCCATGAAAGCAGCTAGGAGGGATGCTGTACACTGCAAAGCCACGAGGGTGGAGCTGCCCAAGGCCATGGGACCCCGACTCTTGCATCAGCATGACCGAGATATGAGACATGGAGTCAAAGATCATTTTGAAGCTTTAAGATTTGGCTGCCCTACTGGATATTGGACTCGCATGGGGAATGTAGCCCCTTCCTTTGGCCAATTTCTCCCATTTGGAATGGGTGTATTTACCCAATGCCTGTATCCCCGTTGTATCTAGGAAGTAACTAACTTGCTTTTGATTTTACAGGCTCATAGGTGGAAGGGACTTGCCTTGTCTTAGAGAAGACTTTGGACTTGGACTTTTGGGTTAATGCTGGAATGAGTGAAGACTTTGAGGAACAGTTGGAAGGCAGGATTGGTTTTGAAATGTGAGCACATGACATTTAGGAGAGGCCAGGGGCAGAATGACAGAGTTTGGCTCTGTGTCCCCACCAAAACCTCACCTTAAATTGTAATAATCCCCTGGTGTCATGGGAGGCACCTGGTGGGAGGTAATTGAATCATGGAGGTGGGTTTTTCCCATGTTGTTCTCATGATAGTGAAAAAGTCTCATGAGATCTGATGGCTTCATAAAGGGGAGTTCCCCTGCACATGCCTTTTTGTCTGCTTCCATGGAAGATGTGTCCTTGCTCCTCTTTTGCCTTCCACCATGATTGTGAGGCTTCCCCAGCCATGTGGAACTATGAGCCCATTAAACCTCTTTTTTTCTTTATAAATACCCAGTCTTGGGTATGTCTTTATTAGCAGCATGAGAACAGACTAATACACCTGGTATGTAATATGTAACTGGAATATTCAGACTGTTCAAATGTAGCAAGTGATGAGAATGATAAAAAAAAAATTGGCAAAGTAGGAGACAAAATATTGCAGGACTCATGAACTTTAGACAGAGGAGCCAGGGAAGGCCAGAAAAGGTCTCTGCCTTTGCAATCACATGTTCAATTGCTTATCCCAGAAACAAACTCAATGTGGCTAATTTATTTTATAAATCTATTTGATGAAAGGTGGGCTAATTGCAAAATGCACACGGTATGTTACGTTTATCAAATTCTTTACCAAAAATTCTCCTGATTTGTTACCTTAATATTTTTGGAGATTAAAGACCCAGAGTTAGAAAAACATCCACCTTTTGACATGTGGGCTACCAGTTTTATTTTCTGTGCTCTAGGTGAAGGGTTAAATGTGTTTGGGTTTGACTAGAACTCACTGTGTAGGAGGACATCGTTTTTTTTTTTTATTTTTTATTTTTTGACAGAGTCTCGCACTGTCACCCCACTGGAGTGCAATGGTGCCATCTCCGCCTCCCGGGTTCATGTGATTCTCCTGCCTCAGCCTCCCAAGTAGCTGGAATTACAGGCACCACCACACCTGGCTAATTTTTTGTATTTTTACTAGAGATGGGGTTTCACTATGTTCACCAGACTGGTCTCAAACTCCTGACCTCGTAATCTGGCCACCTTGGCCTCCCAAAGTGCTGGGATTATAGATGTGAGCCACCATGCCCAACCTCTCATGGTGTTTTATCTTTACTTTGCCAATGACTTAATCCGATGGCAGCACAAACTTGTGCTCCTTGCCACTGGGAGGATTTGTAGCATGGAAGAAAGCAGAAATTGCCTGTGTATTACTTATCTTCCCATCATGTACTTTTAAATGATTCAATTTTTTTTCTATTAACTAAAGTATTTCACATGAGGGTTTCGCCCACAGCCAGAGCCATGAACCACTGAGTTGAAGCATGTCAGAGTGACATCCCAGAAACAGAAGCCATGACTAGACCATATATCTGGGAATGTAGAACCATAAGCCTTGAGTCTCATGTCATGGAAAGCTAAACACTGAGCCACTAGATTGCAAGGGCCCACTGTTTCCTCAAAAATGAAGATGTCAAAAACTGGAAACAAATAAATATCCAATTCCAGAGCATAAAATAACAATTTGTGCTATACATGTACACTGAAATGCTATTCAGTCATGAAAGGGAAAAATTACTAATATATGCAATAACATGGATGAAAAAAATATGTTTCAATTATGAGTGAAAGAAGCCATATAGGAAGGAACACATACCCTGTGATTCCAATTATATAAAGTTCTAGATTAGGAAAAACTAACGTACAGTGATAGAAATTCGATGACTACTTATCTGAGGAGGAAGTGGAAGGAGATTGATAACAATGGGCGTGACAAAACTTTCTGGGGTGACAAAATCGGTTTGCCTATTCACTAGGATGTTATTATACTAGAATAGCCATGTATCATTAGTTATCAACTTGTATTCTTAAAAGGAGTACATTTTCTTTGACGTAAATTATACAAAAATAACATTAAAATTTTGAAGCGAAAATGGTCAGTGGTTGTAATAATATATATTTTTTTGTTGATTTCTGGCTGGACACACTCCACAAATTTGTAAAAATTTTGGTAAGAGGAAGTTGTTCTTATAGTGACTGAGTTGTAATTACCAACCACCCAAGTTGGATGGGGAATTGTAGACAGAGTGGATATAATTTATAGGAACCAAATTGTTGACTTAAATGTGTACTTGGAAAATAGAATTACAAAGGTAAAATCATCTCAAAATAAATGAATGTAACAATTCTATTATAAGTAATATTTTAAATGTGCATAATGTTATAAAATCCTGTCAGTGTGAAGTCTGGGAAACAATATAATTTTAAATGACAGAGTAGGTACTGTAAAAATCTCTGACATAGAAGGCAGACAATTCTGTGCTTGGGTTTTGGCCATCCCATTTCCAAGCCTTAGAAGTTCATGGACACTTTCAGTTTATCCAACTCTTCTTAGTTATATTTTTGGACTATCAGCACATTTTGTGTAATACAACTTAGAGCACTAATCAACTATTACATGTTATTTTATTTTTTCTTTGTCTAAAAGCCTCTTTCTTTCTGCCCGGTTTATCAGTGTGGACTTTGGCATCTAATAGCCCTAGGGTCAACTTCTATTTATGAGCTGTAGATCTTAACCAAGTTATTTAACATCTCCCATCCTCCGTGTTCTCATGTATAGGAGGGGCCTCATTATCATTCTTACCTTCTAAGATGCAATGCCTGGTGTAGAGAGCATGCCACTATACCTCTCATTTATAGTAGTCATAAGCTATAGCCCAGAAGCAAGGTAATGTTAAAATGTACTTTTTGGTAAAGTGCTTCTAAATTATTCATATGCTTCATTTCAATATGTTAAATAAACATTAATTTCATTTTATGAATAGGAACAACAGGTAAAAAACTGACTCCAATTCTTGGTAAACACAAGTTGGAGAATTGGGTGAGAAGCAAGAGTCCACTTCAATACTTGCTCAATGGGATGTGCTTTTTTCCAACTGGGCACTACACTGGAAAATCTGGGTTATACAAGCAGACAAAATGGCTTGTTTGTGTCAGTGGGAAATAAATTCTAAGAGACAGACTGGGTGAAGACTATGATAATTTATGAGTTCCAGTTTGCAACTCTTTACCTAAACCTGGGATTCTAGGATATAGAGATCCTTTATGCAAGGGGAGCAGAAGTATGTTCCTCCAGAACCGCTCAATAAAATTGGTTCTAAGAAAAAGCCACTGCATTTCAAAACTGCCTGAAGTATATCTTTCACTCCACTTTATTATTGTATTCTGAACATGGCACCTCTGCAACTTTTGTTTCCATATCCTTTGAGCGTCTTCTAGAAAGCAAAGCTTGATTCTGCCTTCTGGGCTTGAGCATGTGGGCATAGCTGGGTTGTCCTGCACTGCCTGAAGAGCTGCAAGAGACAAGGAATATCATGAACAGTGGTATCCCTCTTTGTTCTTATAGCCTCACCTATGGAGGAAGCTACAAAAGAGGAAATACATTCCTAGAGGACAATCCTAATCTAGTCATTAACATAGTTGAGTGCGTTTGCTGCTAATGGAGCACATTTCAAGCCAGAGATTTCTAGGTATGCATTACAGGGAGGATCTACTTTCATATTTGAGCATAAGTATTTCTACAAGCATCTTAGATAAAAACAGAGAGGAAGCTTTTCAAGGCCATGCATGATAAAACACTCAGGAAACAGTCAATGAGTGATATAAAATAGTTAAAATATGATTTGTTTTCAAAGGATTCAAACCCTAGGATAAAATTTAATGGGAGCAGGTCTTAATTAACACTAATTAATTTTTAAAATATGTGTTTATCCTTTTATTTATTTACCTAATAGACATGGTAGTAAACACTGGGAATATTTTTTTAATGATCCCTTTTCCTGTCCTTCAGCATCTCCTCCTACAATGTATACATATGGGAGGACAAGAATATTGAATACGTAAACTAGAATAAATATAAAATAGAACGATGAATGCTAAAATCATGGTGTGCTCTAGATGGATTCATAGCACTAAACATTGCTTTCACGAACATATGAGGAAATGTTTTCACAGAGTTTATGTGAGAAAATCTTTGAGGCTTTTATTTCATCACAAGATCAACACAATCTGACAATGTGATGCACTTGTTAAAAAATTAATGTGATGTTTGTTTCAAGATAGAACTGAGGTTTCTAGATATCCAGAGGATCTTTTAGAAACTATTAAGGCAAAATAATAATATTTAATTTTGCAAACAAATTTGAAAAACTGCTATACAATCAGATAAACAAAGGCAGCATGAAGTGTGTTGACATGGAGAAGAACTAATTAGAATGATTATATTGGAGAAAACTATAAAATAATAATTTAGTAGAAGAAATGTTTGGTTTCTTTGTAAGGATTTGTGAAAGCAATAGAGAAAAACTAAAGAAAAGCATTTGAGTTATTTTTGAGAATACAGTATTTGGTTATATAGTGAGTATCCCATGCTGTGAAACATTTAAGAAAACATTCATGAGGTAATCATCCTTAATAAATTCAGTAGAGTAATATCTGAACTTGATAAAAACATGCATTTCTAGCCTCTAAATTGCTTTCAAATATAAGTTTCTTTTATTTTAAGGGGGGCACTTAAGGAATAAGAGTTCTTTAATAAAATAATAGAAGTAAGAATGAAGAGACATTTCCAAATTTGAGAGAAGAATGCATAAAACTTGGCCATGGCTTGAATATTGGAGGTGCATGAGAGGAAGGGGGCCAAGATGAGTTTCAAGTTCCTGGATTGAACAACTGGTGATGGTGGCATCAAAAACCAAGTTACACAAAACTGTAAGAGAAGCAGGGTGGGGAAGAATGGCATGTTCAGCTCTGAAATTGTTTACATAAATGTGTCTCTGGAAGATGTGAGGGAATATTTCAGTAGTCTTAAATGATGAAGTTTGGTACTTATTTGGGTAATCAGAATTTGAGATACAAATTCAGATTTTGTTAGTATAAATAAGAGTAGTAAAGCTTTGGGAACAGTTTCTGCAAAAACAGAATAGATTAAAAAAGAAAATTATATGATCAGTCTATGGGAATTCTCCATAGCCCCTTCAAGCAGAGCTCATTCCACTAAATTAATGTTAAAGAAGATGGGGTTCAAAGAATGCTCTTCATTGAAAAACAACATTACCTGGGAAGGAAGAAAATAGTAATTGGGAGTCTTGTGTACTAAGCTAATTTCCAGGTATCGGACCTATAAAAAGATGAAGAACATTGAAATAGCCACTTATCATCTCTGGAAAACTTTACAGCAATGCATAAGCCACTCCTCACTGCAAATTCCTCCCACAACCCTGACTAAATGACAATAAATAATGTTCAAGTGCACCAAAACTCCCATCCTCACCATGCTGTAGGTTCAAGGGATTATAAGAATGGGCAAGCTCATTTCCTGAGCACTGTATCAGGCCCTAGGAGGGCTGCAGATGATGGAAGTCCAGGCCTCCCAGTATGATCTGCAGCTTGGCAACAGACAAGCAGATCTTACTCAAAAGAAAATGCATGGGGGCAACGGGAGGAAAGAGCCCTGTTGAAATCTTTACTATTCTGTAATCATTGAATGTATTTCCTGAACGTATCATCGTCACTTAAATATACTTTATTCTTCTCTGAGGGCAAAAGTTTGAAAAGAATTTATAAAAAGTATTTGAATACAGACCCTAAAGCTCATGTCAAACAACTACATAAGGGCTTAGGGACACCCTGGACACAAAATAATAAATCAATCAATAAATATCGTGCCTTGCCAGGAACACTGGAACATATTGTATGAAGCTTTCTAGATAGTTCTCATGACCTTAAGGAAATTAGCTACCATGTACTCAGAACAGAAAATGAACTTTAATCAGAAGAGGGCACTGAGGATGAAGGAACACAAAAAAGAGTCAAGGGACATGCAATAGGGCCTCTGCTACAGAAATATGGCCCAAAGGCAGAGATAAGAAGATATTCTGCAGATTAACATGACTAGTAAAGAAATCAAATGTTAGGCACGAAGACAGGCCCTAGGTGAACTTGAGTGTGAGTCACTGACCCTTACCTGCTGAGAGTCCCAGCGTCTCTGCCAGGTAACTGTCTTCTTCACAAATGTATGTGATGCAAATTTGGCATGCCTGTGCCCCTTTCGGAATAACGGAGTCAATCAAAGCTCGGGTCTTATCCATAACTGTAGCATTTTCACGTTTTACTTTCTCCATCTCTTCCTGGTTCAGCACCCTTGTCTGTAATAATTCATCCAGTAAGCCATTTATTGTACCTTCACCCATGGAATGGATAAACAGCTTTCTCTTCTCCTTCAGGACCTTGTCTGTTTGGAGCACAAGGATTTCTCACATCATGAAAACAGCCTCATATTCCTCTCACGTCATCAACAGAAAGTGACCTCATTTAGATTTCATCAGTGAAATGTCCCCCTCCTCACAGTTGGGTAATCCCTCTTCTTACTGTATTGCTGTCCTACTTGTTTCCCTCAGTAGTCCCCATATATGTGCATGGAGTGACCTGAAGACTGAGTTTACCATTTCCACATCAGTCCCTGGAAAGCAGAGATCATCCTCTTGTGTCCCATGTTTATTTAACTCTGAATAATAAAGTAATGAAGCAGAAATAGCCCATTTCATTTAGGAACCACTGCTGCTAGTACTCCTCCTGTGCCAATTCTGTACCCTCTGTCAGACTTACGACAGGTAAGCAAGGGTTTAATTAAGATTGCAAAATGACAGCAGGCTACCCCTAAAGTCTCTGTTCCTTTCTGGGCTTGCCTTTTCTTTCTAAAGCCTGCAAAAATCTTCTAGTTCCTTCTCTCCTCCCACTCCTCCCTCTCCCTCACTTCTGCTCACCTAAACTTCCACAGATACTAATTATGGCTTCCAGAAGAGCCAGCCCTTTCCACAACTCTTTCTTCCCAGGGACCTGTTCTTGGAACAGTAAAAGACTCACCGGCCATGGCTTTTCTCTCCTACCCTTCTTGTGTGGGCTGAAACTGAAAGTATGTTTCGCCTTCCTTTTTGGCAGGGCGTGTACACATATTGGGAAACACCCACTGCACATTCATATGCATATCTTTATTTTTCTTCCCAGAGAAAGAATCAGAACTGTAGCCTGCATCAGAGAGTGTATCCAAGGGAATTCTTTTTTCTCCAGCCCTTGGATAGATCAGGGTAGGAGGGGAATGGGGCTTAGAGAATAAGCCCCAGGATTGAGAAAGTATGTGTACAGTTAAATTCACACAGTGAAGAGTTTCCCATTCATTCGAAAACTTGACCGAAAAAATTAACACAACCTTTGGAGAATGTGAACCACTGTTCCCTTGACCCCACCTCACAGCTTTGGGGAAAGTTTGTGGGAAATATATGTCCCTGTGAAGCAATTTTGCTTTAAGAAATGTAAACATTTTTCACCAATATTAAAGCTTTTCTTATTTAATGTTCTTCCTTTCCTGATGGCTTTTTTGTTTTGTTTTGTCTTCTGATACATGATGTCACTCTGTTGCCCAGGTTGGAGTGCAGTGGCATGACCACGGCTCACTGCAGCCTCCACTTCCCTAGGCTGAGATGATTCTCCCACTTCAGTTTCCTGAGTAGTTAAAATTACAGGCAAATCCCATCAGGGCTGGTTAATTTTTGTATTTTTTGTTGAGACGGGCTCTCCCTATGTTTCCTTGGCTGATTTTGAATTCCAGCGCTCAAGCGATCCGCCCATCTTGGCCTCCCAAAGAGCTGGGATTACAGGCATGAGCCATGAGCCACTCACTCATCTTGGATGGCTTTCTTTTGAGGGACATTGCATCACAGAGGCCCAAAGCATAGACTCTGAACTCAGAATGTTGAACCTAGCAAGTTAAACTCACCTTCCTGGGCAAGATATTAAACTTCTTTATACATTGGTTCCTCTGTCTGTAAAATAATATTATTAATAGTACATACACATCTACACAGTTTTGAGCAGTATTGAGATAAAAATGTGAAAAATGAATGGAACATTGCCTGGCAAATGGTAAGCAGATAATGAGGGATATTACTATAATTAATAGAAATATTTCAGTTTAGAAAAATAATCAAGGATGATTATTTGCAGATTTTTTAGCTAAGTTTATCTTTTGTTAGAATCCTCAAGCAGTGCCTCCAGTCATTCATTTAGCAAATATATGTGGACAACATGGTTCTCGGTGTCAGGGGTTCCATCAAAACATATATTATGATCCTTTCCCTCTTGCTCGCACATTCAAGAGGGAAAGATACACATGAAACCTGGTATGTAATATGTAACTGGAATATTTAGAATGTGAAAATATGCCAAGCGATGAGAAGAATAAGAAATTAATTGGAGAAGTGGGAGACAAAGTATTGCAGGACTCATGAAAATTGTACACAGAGGAGCCAGGGAAGGCCAGAAGAGGTCTCTGCCTTTGTCAGTACATGCTGAATTGATTATCCCAGAAATAAACTCAATGTGGCTAATTTATTTCATGAATAAACTTGATGGAAGATGGACTAATAGCAAAATGCACACGGTACATTTCATTTATCATTTTTTTTTTTTTTTACCAAAAATTTTCTTGGGCTGTTACGTTATTACCTTTGGAGGATAATGACCAGATTTACAAAAATATTTACGGTTTGACATGTGGGCTACCAGTTTTACTTCCTGTGCTCCAGGCTAAGAGTTAAATGTCATTGGTTAAGTAGAACGGACTGTGTAGGAGGACAATGACGTGGCTTTTAATCTAAGGTGTTTTTCATGGTGTTTTTATCTTTACTCTGCCAATGACCTAATCCGATTGCAGCAAAATCTTGAGCTCCTTGCCGCTGGAAGGATTTGTAGCATGGAAGAAAGCAGAAATTGTCTGTGCACCACTTCTCTTTAGTTTATTTACTTTTAAATTTATGTACTGACTCATTTATTTTTTCTGCTGCTTAAGGGTTTCACATGAGGGTTTCTCCCCACCAGCCAGAGCCAAGAACCACGGAGTTTATGCATGCCAAAGTGGCATCCAGGACACAGAAACAATGATTAGACCATGTGTCTGGGGATGTAGAATCATGAGCTTTGAGTCATGTCCTGGGAATGTAAACACTGAGCCATTAGAGTGCAAAGGCTCGCTATTTCCTCAAAAAGGAAGATGTCAAAAACTGGAAACAACTCAAATTCCAATTCAGGAGCATAAGTAAACAATTTGTGCTAGACACATACACTGAAATACTATTCAGTCATAAAAGGAAAAAATTACTAATATATGCAATAACATGGATGAAAAACTTATACTTTCATTATGAGTGGAAGAAGCCATATAGGAAGGAGCACATACCCTGTGATTCCAATTATATAAAGTTCTAGATTAGAAAAATCTAATGTGTAGTGGTAGAAATTCAATCACTGCTTATCAGAGGAGGAAATGGAAGGAAATTGAGAACAAAGGGCAAGACAAAATTTTTTGGGGTGACAATATCGGTTTGTCTATTAAATGGGATATTATACTAAATATTCTTGTGTAATTAATAATCAATTTATATTCTTAAAAGGGGTACATTTTCTTTTATGTAAATTATACTAAAATAATGTTAAAATTTGAAATGAAAAAGGTCAATGGTAGTAATAACAGACTAATTTGGAAAAACATTTTTTTTCTTGATTTCAGGACACAATCAAGCCTCCAAAAATTACCCATAATTCTGGTAAGAGGAAGCAGTTCTCATAGTGGCTGAAATGTAATTACCCGCCACCCACATTGGAGGGGGATAGGTAGACAGAGGGGAGATAACCTACAGGAACCAATTTATTGACTGAAATATGTACCTGGAAAATAGCATTACGTAAGTAAAATTATCTTAAAATAAATGAATGTAGCAATTCTACTGTAAGTGATATTTAAAATCTGCATAATGATTTAAAAATCCTTCTATCAGTGTGAAGTCTGTGAAACAATATTATTTTAAATGACAGAGTAGGTACTATAAGAACCTCTGACATAGAAGACAGAAAATTCCTGTGCTTGGGTTTTGACCATCCCATTTCCAAGCTTTAGAACATCATATACCCTTTCAGTTTATCCAACTCCTCTTCTTATTTATATTTGTGGACCATTAGCACATTTTGAGTAATACAATTCAGAACACTAATCAACTATAACATGTTATTTTATGTTTTCTTTGTCTAAAACCTTCCCCTTTTCTGCACAGCTTATCAGTGTGGACTTGGGTATCTAACAGTCCTGAGGTCAACTTCTGTTTATGAGCTATTAGATTTTGGACAAGTTATTTAACATCTCTCAGCCTCTGTGTTCTCGTGTATAGAAGGGGCCTCCTAATCATTCTTACCTTCTAGGATGCAATGCCAGGTGTAGAGATCATGCCATAGTACCTCTCATTTATGGTAGTCATGACCTATAGAGCAGAAGCAAGGTCATGTACAAATGTACTTTTTGGTTAAGTACTTCTAAATTTTTCATATGCTTCACTTCAGTATGTTGAATAAGCATTAATTTCATTTTATGATAGGAAGATCAGGTAAAAAATTGCTTCAAGGCCTTGGTAAGCCCAAGCTGGAGAACTGGGTGAGAAGCCAGCCCACCACCTCACTCATTACTTGCTGTATGTGATGCACTCCTCTTCAACTGGGTACTAACTACACTGGGAAATAGGAAGTAGATAAGCAGATAAAAGGTGCTTTTTTGTGTCAGTGGGAAATAAATTCTGAGTTAAATGCATCTAGACTATGATAATTTATAACAGTCAGCCCCAGTAAACTATTTAAATGATGAGATGGGCAATAGGAAACCATTGCAGCTTCCTAAGTAGGAGAGTCACGTTAACATGCTTCTAAAGTAACTATTTCATATTGAGTGCTTAATAAGGCCCAGGCTCTGTAATAGATACTTCATCTATATTGGTTCCTCTTGTCGAACCGTTTAAAAATATTGGTACTTGGAATAACCCCAGATTATGAAACCAAAATCTCATCCTGACCCTCACCCTTGAGACTTCATGCACTGCCACATCCAGAATTTAATAGGACATGTTCTTTGAGGCATTGCTGGTACCATGTGAACCAGGAGCTGGGTCCTGATTGGACTGAGTGTTGGAGACAGGAGAAGGGGTAAGAATGTCTGGGAGTTGGTGCTGACTACAGAAAGAAGCTGCAGAAGAGTAGGAAGGAGCGAAGATGAAGCAGTAAAGAGCTTGCCTGGACAGGCAAGTGGCCAGGAGGGGTGTGGTCTCCTTGTGTCAGATTTCTACACCAACAGCATAGATAATAACTGACCCATGGAACCTCTACAAGTTAGAGTCTCATCTTGGAACCAGATAGAGCCAAATCCCCAAGGAGGGATAGACATGGTCTTGGATGTGGTGTGTTGCCTAGCAGCAGAAACAGAAGCCATTCTTTTCCTTCAGCCCACTCAGAATATAAACTACACTGACAGATGAAGTATATAAATACACTAGAAAGCAAGCCACTATAAGGATATATCAGCAGAAAGAAGAGACTATAAATTTAAATCTTGAAGGACATTGAGATATTGGACAAATCAAATATCAAATATAGAATGAAATCATTCTATATCAAATATAGAAGGATGTAAATAAAGGGAGCAAAAAGTAATTATTCTATAATAAGCAATAATTTGAGAAACAATAAAAATAGAGCATGTATAAATACAAAAATTAGTTATATTTAATAATGGACAGATTAAAAGGCAGACACACAAATCTGCGAAAATGTATATAATGTGGAAGATACAGAGATGTACAGTTGACCTTTAAACAATGAAATACTTAGAGGCACTGACCCCTATATTCAGTTGAAAATCTGTGGCCGGTTGCGGTGGCTCACGCCTGTAATCCCAGCACTTTGGGAGGCAAAGGCGGGCGCATCAGGAGGTCAGGAGATCGAGACTATCCTGGCTAACACGGTGAAACCCCATCTCTACTAAAAATACAAAAAAATAGCCCGTCATGGTGGCGGGTGCCTGTTGTCCCAGCTACTCAGAAGGCTGAGGCAGGAGAATGGCTTGAACCCAGGAGGTGGAGCTTGCAGTGAGCTGAGTACGCACCACTGCACTCCAGCCTGGGAGACAAAGCGAGACTCGGTCGCAAAAAAAAAAAAAGAAAAGAAAAGAAAATCTGCATATAACTTTTGACTCCTTCCAAACTTAACTTCTAATGGCCTGCTATTGAAGAGAAGCCTTACCAGTAACAAAAACCACTGATTAACAAATATTTTGTATTTTATATGTATTATATACTGTAATATAAAGTAAGCTAAAGTAAAAAAAGTTGTTAAGAAAATCATAAGGAAGAGAAAATATATCTACTATTGACTCAGTGAGAGTGGATTATCATAAGGTCTTCATCCTCATCGTCTTCACATTGAGTAAGCTGAAGAGATGGAGGAAGGGGATGGCTTAGTCTTGCAGTCTCACGGGTGGCAGAAGCAGAAGAAGAGGTGGAACAGGACACAGGAGAAGAAGGCACACTGCATTTATATTTGTGGAAATGCATAGTTATTTCTGTCTGACATTTTTGCTTTTCCATTTCCCTAAAATTTTTTCTAGACAGTATGAATCTTTCTTTCACCATTTCCCTTAGTTTCAGTGCTCATATCATAGAATGGTCTTTGTTGTAAAACAGGTCAAAAGCTGCTTTGAAAAATCAGAATCTTTCTGCCAAATTATAATGCCAATTTGTGCTCTGGCACTACTTCTTCTACATCTTCTTCCTCATCATTTGGAACTGGTTCAGAAGCACACATCTCTATCAAGTTTTCATCTGTTAATTTCTCTAATGTGCAATTAGCTCTTGAATTTTTATAAGATCCATATCTTAAAGTTATTCACTTTTTTTGCAATATCTACAATCTCTCATT